>NC_000011.10:98990606-99293636 GCF_000001405.40 Homo sapiens
GTATATCAATTTTTAAAAATCTTTTTTAAAAAGACAAGTTTTCATTTCCTTGATCCATTGGTTTTTTTATATCTATTTCAGCTAGTTCTGCTCCAATCTTTATTGTTCTTTTCTTCTACTGTTTTTGAGTTTTATTTGTTCTTGATCTTCCAGTTCCTTGAGGTGCATAATTAGATTATTTGAAATTTTTCTACTTTTCTGATGTGGGTATTTATTGCTATAGATTTCCCTTTAGCACTGTTCTTTGCTGTATCATATAGGTTTTATTAGGTTGTTTTCCATTTTCATTTGTTTTTTTTTAATTCTTCTTAATTTTCTCATTGATCCAATGGTAATTCAGGGAAATATTATTTAATTTCCATTTACTTGTACAGTTTTCAAATTTCCTCTTGTTACTGATTTCTAGATTTATCTTATTGTGGTCTTAGAAAATACTTGATATTATTTTAAGTTTATAAATTTTGTTGAGAGTTGCATTGTGGTCTAACATATGGTCTATCTTGGAGAATGTTCCGTGTGCTGATGAGAAGAATGTGTATTCGGCAGCTGTTGCATAAAATGTTCTATAAATATCTGTCAGGTCCATTTGGTCTGTAGTGCAGTTTAAATCCAATGTTTTATTGTTGATTTTCTGTCTAGGTGCTTAGAGTGGGTGCTTAGAGTGGGTGTTGACGTTCCCACCACTGTACTGAAGTCTTGCTTTAGATTTAATAATATTTGTTTTATATATATGAGTGTTTTGATGTTGAGTGCATATATATTTAGAATTGTTATATCCTCTTGCCAAACTGATTCCTTTATCATTATATAATATCTTTCTTTTTCTCTTTTTACAGTTTTTATGCAAAGTCTGTTTTTAATCTTACATAAATATAGCTAACCCTGCTCACTTTTGGTTTCCATTTGTGTGGGATATCTTTTTCCATTCCTTCACTTTCAGTTGATATGTGTCCTCATAGGTGATTTGAGTTTATTGTAGGCAGCATAGATTTTGATCTTTGAAAAAAATCCATTCAGTCAGTCTTTATTATTTAAGTGGACAATATAATACATTTACGTTCAAGGTTATTATTGACAGATAATGACTTATTCAGGTCATATCGCCAATTGTCTCCTGATTGATTGTGTTGTATATCCTTTGCTCCTTTCTTTTGGTTTAACACTGAGGTTTGGTGGTTTTGGTAGTTATTTACAGTAGTAACATTTGAATCCTTTCTCTTTCTTGTTTGTGTGTCTGCTCTGTATGTGAGATATATACTTTCATGTGTTTTCATAATGGTAAATATTTTCCTTTCATTTCCAGATGTAGGACTCCCTTAACTACTTTGTGTGGGGCCAGTCTAATGGTGATTAATTCTCTCAGTTTCTGCTTGTATGAGGAAGACATCATTTCTCCTTTATTTTTGAATAGTAGCTTTGCTGGGTATAATATTCTTGTCTGTCAGGTTTTTTCTTCAATACTTCGAACATATCATCTCATTCTCTCCTGGCCTGTAAAGTTCCTGCTAAGAAATTCACTGTTAGTCTGATGGGAGTTTTCTTATATGTGACATGACACATTTATCTTGTTGGTTTTAGAATTATCTTTGTCTTTGACTTTTGACAATTTGAATATAATGTGCCTTGGTAAGATCTTTTTGATTTGAATCTATTTGCAGATGTTTGAGCTTCCTGTATCTGGAAGTCTATATCGCTTGCAAGATTTCAGAAGTTTTTAGTGATCATTTTGTCAAATAGGTTTTCTCTATACTTTTCCATCTCTTTTCCTCCTGTAACACCCCAAATTAAAGCATTTGGCTGCTTTATGGTATCCCATATGTCACATAGCCTTGCTTATAGTTGATTATTTTTATATTTTCTTTTATTTTCTCTCTATATAGAGAAATAAACAATAAAATAATATACAGATAAAAGATTATATCCAACTGAGTTATTTCAAAAGACCTATCTTCAAGTATGGAATTTTTTTCTTTAGCTTGATCTAGTCTATTGCTGAGGATCTCAGTTATATTGTTTATTTCATTCGTTGAATTCTTCATTTCCAGAAGTTCTGTTTAGTTCTTTTTTATGATATCTATCACTTTTTTGAATGTTTCATTTAGATCATAAATTGATTTTCTGGTTTGCTGGAATTGTTTATGTGTTTTCTCTTGAAACTCACTGAGCTTCTTTGGTATCCTTATTTTGAATTCTTTTTAAGGCTATTTATTGGATTCTTTTTTGTTTGAATTTGTTGCATGAGAATTATTCCAGTTTTTTGGAGGTGCCGTGTTTCCTTGCTTTTTCCTGTTTCTTGTGTCCTCACATTGGTATCTGTTCAACTGATGTAACAGTTGCTTATAACAATTTGGTTTTTGGTATTGGATTTCATAAGCAAAGACTTTTTCCTGTAGACCTATCTATAGTGTTGTTTGGGTAGATTGCCTTACCTTTAATTCTAGATGTGTGCAGTAGCATAGTCTCTGTATTTTGTCTGTGAGCAGCATCAGTGATATCTGTAATTTCCTCTGTGGCTTAGACTGCTTTTGTTAGTGGAGGCTGTGGTAAGGCTTTACTGAGGAAGGGAACACCGAGTCAAGCCAGTCTTGTGCCCCTGTGGCAGCGATGGCAGGCCAAGTAGAATGCCTGTTCTTTGGTCCCAAGCAATATATGTGGGCACTGGTGTTAGTTAACAGGTTCAGGTGGGCTAATTCTTTGGCTTTCATGCATTTTGGTTGGGGCTGGCAGCTGCAGCAGTGGGTTGGATGGGTGGGTGGGTCCTTAAGATCCTGGTCAGTGTATGTAATGTCAGTGATAGCAGTAGTTGTGGTGGGCAAACCCTTGGGCATGCAGGTAGCAGAATGTGCTGATGCCAGTGGTGGTGGTGATGGGCTGGGTGAATCAGTCACTAGTTTCCCAGGTGACATGTGCAGGTGGGTGCTGACAATGGTTGTGACAATAGGATGGGCAGGCTGGTCATTAGGCCCCTGGGAGGGGTGTGCAGATGCTGGTGATGGTTGGTAGGGTGAGGTGATCCCCAGAAGAGAGATGGTGGCCAAATCATGTATGGCCATGAACCATATTGGATTGTACTCAGATGAAATAAGGGGCAAGTCAAGTATTTTTTTTAATGTGACTTGCCAGGTTTATATTTTATAAAGAAAACAAGTAGTAGCTTAAAAAATCAATTAGAGAAGAGCAAGCCAGGAGGCAATCGTCAGCATTAAAGTAAATGGTAGATGTTTAAAAATGGAGAAAAAATTGTTGGTATACAAGCAATATTATTTTTATAAACTTAAAGCCTTGACATAATTATATGTATTTTATTACTAATTATAAAATTACATTATTATGTAAAGGAAGTAATAAAAAATCCCTCAAGTGGTTTTAAATCATGTTCTTCTTTTCCAAAAATAAGTTATTTGATAACAGCCTTGTTAATATTTTAATTGATGACTTATGGCCTAAAGGATCTTTCATACCAGTATATAACAAACCAATTTTGTAATTAGTAAGAATGATTCAAGTGACAATTTTCCAAACTGTTGCATTTAGTAGATTTTGCAGAGTAAGACTGTTATGCTGTACAATATTTTTGAAAACTTTATTTTTAAGCTCTGAGCCATCTTAACTATAAATCTCTATAAGAAGAATTCTACCTTCAAATAGACTGTATAAATATAGAAAATAATACGATAATTGGCTGTTTGTTTTTATTAATTATAAAATTCTGGAGTCATATTCTATTTTATATTTCATAAGCATTGAATTTAATTATAAAAATTAAGTGACATATTAGAGCCTGTATGAAAAGAGAATTAAAGAAAAGCAAACAAACTATGAGAAATTTTATTGCCATATTTCTATTTTTCTTTTCACCACGTTAAGCATTTCACCTTCTTAAGCATTTGCTTTAATCCTCTGGCACATTGTTTTATAGCTGCAAGATGTCTACTATACTCGGAGAAATCACATTTTCATTGACTATGTCAGAAGGTTGGGGAAAGGTGAGGAGGGACAAAGGGCATTCTCCTCATGCTACTCTTGCCTTCGTGTATTAGTCAGGGTTCTCCAGAGAAACAGAACCAATAGAAGATACATAGATATAGATGATATAGATAGATCTAGATATAGATATAAATATAGATGATGTATAGACGTATAGATAAAAGATTTATTCTAGGAATTGGCTCATGTAGTTATTCAGATAAGAAGTTCCATGATCTGCTGTCTCCAAGCCGAGGAACCAGGAAAGCCTGTGGTGTAATTCAGTCCAAGTCTGAAGGCTTGTGGTGGTGGAGGGGACCTATTAGATGATGGTGTAAGTTCAGGTCTGAGTCTGAAGGCTTAAGGACCAGGAGCTTCACTATGCAAATACAGGAGAAGATGAATAACTCAACTCAAGCAGAGAGCAAATTTGCCCTTCCTCCATCTTTTATTTTGTTCAGTTTTTTTCTCAGTGAATTGAATATGCTCAGCCACGTTGGGGAAGGACATCTGCTTTAGCCAGCTCACCAAGTCAGATGCTGGCCTCTTTCAGAACATCCTCACAAACATACACAGAAGTTGTCTTACCATCTATCTGGGCATCCCTTAGCTCACAAGTTAACACAAAATTAACCTTCACACTTAATCAGGGAGAAACATTTTTTTTTCTTAAATCTCAGAAGTATATTTTATCTGCTATTGGCCAAAATTGAGTTCCATTCCAATCCTAGGACCTAGCAGAGGTATAGGAACACCATGATTGGCTCAGGCAAATGAAGATGTATCCCTTGGAGCTGGACACGTTATTTCTGAATAAAATTGAGGTTTCGCTAGCATGGAATGATCAGATATTCTATACTCATGATAAATTATCTGCAAGCAAAATGATGTCAGCCTATGGGAGAGAGAGAAACTAACATTTGTTGAAAGCCTGTGTTTGTCAGTTACTATGCTCTAAGCTTTCTACAGGTTAGGGAAGAAAAAGCAAATCTGATATTTTAAAAATAAGATTACTGCCACATTTTGCATCTCTTTATCTTTGGGTTAACACTTTTAACATCTTTAATATCTTTAAAGGTTAAAATGTTAATTTGTTTATAAATATGTATTCAACATAAAAATCAGTGAAAAATGTTGAAGAGCAGAAACTATATCCAAAATGTCAGAAGCTCCTATATTTTTGATTAATTCAATCATTTAGACTATATAGGTATTTACAGAGTATGGATGTAGGTACACCAAAAAGTTTAAAGAAAATATCCTAAGAGATGTACATCTATTGAGGGGAACCAAGTTTTGAAAATCTAAATTTTTATTACAAAAAAATAAAGCAGTGTAATGAAAAACAAACTTGGAGTAAGAGTGTGAATGTGGATAAAACAATCACTGATAGAAGACTTTTTCTGTATTCTCATTATTGCTTCCTTTATGATCCTTAGGTGTAAAGACAGTTTATATTCTTTCATACTCTTCAGTTCACAGTATGCCATATTCATAGGTCTGTCTATTCAAAGCTATCCCTTTTGTGTTTTACTTTACTTCATTTTATATCATCAATTCCACTTTATTTTAGTTCTCCCTTTCCTCTGATCTGCTTTTCTATACTCCTCCATCCTCATCTGTTCCCACTCTCCTGAATTAATGTGTTCTGAAATATGCGTGAAACATAACATATGTAATGTTGTGATATGTGTGCTTTAATTTACAGACATGATATTTAAATATAAATCACATTATTTTCCTTTTTGACACTATTTTTGAGGTATAGCCATGTTTCTACTGCTCCACAGTATTGCATTCACCATGCTTTGCTGAGGCATTCTCCATGTAATGCTCCATTTTGATGCCTAGAAAAATTCATTGCTATAAAGAGGACAGTTCCAAGATGGCCGAATAGGAACATCTCCAGTCTACAGCTCCCGGTGTAAGCGATGCAGAAGATGGGTGATTTCTGCATTTCCAACTGAGGTACCGGGTTCATCTCACTGGGGCTTGTCGGACAGCGGGTGCAGGACAGTGGGTGCAGCCCACCGAGTGTGAGCCGAAACAGGGCAAGGCATCACCTCACCCAGGAAGCACAAGGGGTCAGGGAATTCCCTTTCATAGCCAAGGGAAGCTGTGACAGATGGCACCTGGAAAATCGGGTCACTCCCACCCTAATAATGCACTTTTCCAATGGTCTTAGCAAACGGCATACCAGGAGATTATATCCCGTGCCTGGCTTGGAGGGTCCCATGCCCACAGAACCTCGCTCATTCCTAGCACAACGGTCTGAGATCAAACTGCAAGGCGGCAGCAAGGCTGGGGGAGGGGCGCCCGTCATTGCTGAGGCTTGAGTAGGTAAACAAAGCGGCCAGGAAGTTCGAACTGGGTGGAGCCCACCACAGCTCAAGGAGGCCAGCTTGCCTCTGTAGACTCCACCTCTGGGGGCAGGGCATAGCCGAACAAAAGGCAGCAGAAACCTCTGCAGACTTAAATGTCCCTGTCTGACAGCTTTGAAGAGAGGAGTGGTTCTCCCCGCACAGAGTTTGAGATCTGAGAACGGTCAGGCTGCCTCCACAAATGGGTTCCTGACCCCCGAGTAGCCTAACTGGGAGGCATACCCCGTAGGGGCAGACTGACACCTAACATGGCCATGTACCCCTTTGAGACGAAGCTTCCAGAGGAACGATCAGGCAGCAACAGTTGCTGTTCAGCAATATTCGCTGCTGTGCAGCCTCTGCTGCTGACACCTAGGCAAACAGTGTCTGGAGTGGACCTCCAGCAAACTCCAACAGGAGTGCAGCTGAAGGTCCTGACTGTTAGAAGGAAAACTAACAAACAGAAAGGACATCCACACTAAAACCCCATCTGTACGTCACCATCATCAAAGACCAAAGGTAGAAAAATCCATGAAGATGGTGGAAAAACAGAGCAGAAAAGCTGAAAATACTAAAAATCAGAACACCTCTCCCTCTCCAAAGGAACGCAGCTCCTTGCCAGCAATGGAACAAAGCTGGATGGAGAATGACTTTGACAAGCTGAGAAAAGAAGCCTTCAGATGATCAAACTACTCCGAGCTAAAGGAGGAAGTTCAAACCCATCGCGAAGAAGCTAAAAACCTTGAAAAAAGATTAGACAAATGGCTAACTAGAATAAACAGTGTAGAGAAGTCCTTAAATGACCTGATGGAGCTGAAAACCATGGCACGAGAACTACATGATGAATGCACAAGCTTCATTAGCTGATTCGATCAACTGGAAGGAAGGGTATCAGTGATTGAAGATCAAATGAATGAAATGAAGCAAGAAGAGAATTTTAGAGAAAAAAGAGTAAAAAGAAATGAACAAAGCCTCCAAGAAATATGGGACTATGTGAAAAGACCAAATCTACATCTGATTGGTGTACCTGAAAGTGACGGGGAGAATGGAATCAATTTGGAAAACACTCTGCAGGATATTATCCAGGAGAACTTCCCCAACCTAGCAAGGCAGGCCAACATTCAAATTCAGGAAATACAGAGAATGCCACAAAGATACTCCTCGAGAAAAGCAACTCCAAGACACGTAATTGTCAGATTCACCAAAGTTGAAATGAAGGAAAAAATGTTAAGGGCAGCCAGAGAGAAAGGTCGGGTTACCCACAAAGGGAAGCCCATCAGACTAACAGCAGATCTCTCAGCAGAAACTCTACAAGCCAGAAGAGAGTGGGGGCCAATATTCAACATTCTTAAAGGGAAAAATTTTCAACCCAGAATTTCTTATCCAGCCAAATTAAGTTTCATAAATGAAGGAGAAATAAAATTCTTTACAGACAAGCAAATGCTGAGAGATTTTCTCACCACCAGGCCTGCCCTAAAAGAGCTTCTGAAGGAAGCACTAAACGTGGAAAGGAACAACCGATACTAGCCACTGCAAAAACATGCAAATTGTAAAGATGATTGACGCTACAAAGAATCTCCATCAACTAACGGCAAAATAACCAGCTAACATTATAACAACAGGATCAAATTCACACATAACAATATTAACCTTAAATGTAAATGGGCTAAATGCTCCAATTAAAAGACACAGACTGGCAACTTGGATAAAGAGTAAAGCCCCATCAGTGTGCGGTATTCAGGAGACTCATCTCACGTGCAGAGACACACATAGGTTCAAAATAAAGGAATGGAGGAAGATCTACGAAGCAAATGGAAAACAAACAAAGGCAGGGGTTGCAATCCTAGTCTCTGATAAAACAGATTTTAAACCAACAAAGATCAAAAGAGACAAGAAGGCCATTACATAATGTTAAAGGGATCAATTCAACAAGAAGAGCTAACTATCCTAAATATATATGCACCCAATACAGGAGCACCCAGATTCATAAAGCAAGTCCTGAGTGACCTACAAAGAGACTTAGACTCCCACACAATAATAATGGGAGACTTTAACACCCCAATGTCAACATTAGACAGATCAACGAGACAGAAATTAAAAAGGATATCCAGGAATTGAACTCAGCTCTGCACCAAGCGGACCTAATAGAGAACTACAGAACTCTCCACCTCAAATCAATAGAATACACATTCTTCTCAGCACTACACTGCACTTATTCCAAAATTGACCACATAGTTGGAAGTAAATCACTCCTCAGCAAATGTAAAAGAACAGAAATTATAGCAAACTGTCTCTCAGACCACAGTGCAATCAAACTAGAACTCAGGATTAAGAAACTCACTCAAAACCGCTCAACTACATGAAAACTGAACAACCTGCTCCTGAATGACTACTGGGTACATAACGAAATGAAGGCAGAAATAAAGATGTTCTTTGAAACCAATGAGAACAAAGACACAACATACCAGAATCTCTGGGACACATTTAAAGCAGTATGTAGAGTGAAATTTATAGCACTAAATGCCCACAAAAGAAAGCAGGAAAGATCTAAAATTGACACCCTAACATCACAATTAAAAGAACTAGAGAAGCAAGAGCAAACACATTCAAAAGCTAGCAGAAGGCAAGAAATAACTAAAATCACAGCAGAACTGAGGGAGATAGAGACACAAAAAACCCTTCAAAAAATCAATGAATCCAGGAGCTGGTTTTTTTGGAAAAGATCAACAAAATTGATAGACCACTAGCAAGACTAATAAAGAAGAAAAGAGAGAAGAATCAAATAGATGCAATAAAAAATGATAAAGGGGATATCACCACTGATCCCACAGAAACACAAACTACCATCAGAGAATACTATAAACACCTCTACACAAATAAACTAGAAAATCTAGAAGAAATGGATAAATTTCTGGACACATACACCTTCCCAAGACTAAACCAGGAAGAAGTTGAATCCCTGAATAGACCAATAACAGACTGTGAAATTGATGCAATAATTAATACCCTACCAAACAAAAAAAAGTCCAGGACCAGATGGATTCACAGCGGAATTCTACCAGAGGTACAAGGAGGAGCTGCTCCTATTCCTTCTGAAACTATTCCAATCAATAGAAAAAGAGGGAATCCTCCCTAACTCATTTTATGAGGCCAGCGTCATCCTGATACCAAAGCCTGGCAGAGACACAACAAAAAAAGAGAATTTTAGACCAATATCCCTGATGGACATTGATGCAAAAATCCTCAATAAAATACTGGCAAACCGAATTGAACAGCACATCAAAAACTTATCCACCATGATCAAGTGGGCTTCATCCCTGGGATGCAAGGCTGGTTCAACATATGCAAATCAATAAACATAATACAGCATATAAACAGAACCAAAGACAAAAACCACAGGATTATCTCAATAGATGCAGAAAAGGCCTTTGAAAAAAATTCAACATCCCTTCATGCTAAAACCTCTCAATAAATTAGGTATTGATGGGACATATCTCAAAATAATAACAGCTATTTATGACAAACCCACAGCCAATATCTTACTGAATGGGCAAAAACTGGAAGCATTCCCTTTGAAAACTGGCACAAGACAGGGTTGCCCTCACTCACCACTCCTATTCAACATAGTGTTGGAAGTTCTGGCCAGGGCAATCAGGCAGGAGAAAGAAATAAAGGGCATTCAATTAGGAAAAAAGGAAGTCAAATTGTCCCTGTTTGCAGATGACATGACTGTATATTTAGAAAACCCCATTGTCTCAGCCCAAAATCTCCTTAAGCTGATAAGTAACTTCAGCAAAGTCTCAGGATACAAAATCAATGTGCAAAAACCACAAGCATTCCTATACACCAATAACAGACAAACAGAGAGCCAAATCATGAGTGAACTCCCGTTCACAATTTCTTCAAAGAGAATAAAATACCTAGGAATCCAACTTACAAAGGATGTGAAGGACCTCTTCAAGGAGAATTACAAACCACTGCTCAACGAAATAAAAGAGGACACAAACAAATGGAAGAACATTCCATGCTCATGGATAGGAAGAATCGATATCATGAAAATGGCCATACTGCCCAAGGTAATTTATAGATTCAAGGCCATCCCCATCAAGCTACCAATAACTTTCTTCACAAAATTGGAAAAAAACTACTTTAAAGTTCATATGGAACCAAAAAAGAGCCTGCATTGCCAAGACAATCCTAAGCCAAAAGAACAAAGGTGGAGGCACCATGCTACCTGACTGTAAACTATACTACAAGGCTACAGTAACCAAAACAGCATGGTACTGGTACCAAAACAGAGATATAGACCAATGGAACAGAACACAACAGAGCCCTCAGAAATAATACCACACATCTACAACCATCTGATCTTTGACAAATCTGACAGAAACAAGAAATGGGGAAAGGATTCCCTTTTTAATAAATGGTGCTGGGAAAACTGGCTAGCCATATGTAGAAAGCTGAAACTGGATCCCTTCCTTACACCTTATACAAAAATTAATTGAAGATGGATTAAAGACTTACATGTTAGACCTAAAACCATAAAAACCCTAGAAGAAAACCTAGGCAATACCATTCAGTAAATAGGCATGGGCAAGGACTCATGTCTAAAGCACCAAAGGCAATGACAACACAAGCCAAAATTGACAAATGGGATCTAATTAAACTAAAGAGCTTCTGCACAGCAAAAGAAGCTACCATCAGAGTGAACAGGCAACCTAGAGAATGGGAGAAAATTTTTGCAATGTACTCATCTGACAAAGGGCTAATATCCAGAATCTACAAAGAACTCAAACAAATTTACAAGAAAAAGGCAAACAACCTCATCAAAAAGTGGGTGAAGGATATGAGCAGGCACTTCTCAAAAGAAGACATTTATGCAGCCAAAAAACACATGAAAAAATGCTCATCATCACTGGCCATCAGAGAAATGCAAATCAAAACCACAATGACATACCATCTCACACCATTTAGAATGGCGATCATTAAAAAGTCAGGAAACAACAGGTGCTGGAGAGGATGTGGAGAAACAGGAACACTTTTACACTCTTAGTGGGAGTGTAAACTAGTTCAACCTTTGTGGAAGACAGTGGCAATTCCTCAAGGATCTAGAACCAGAAATACCATTTGACCCAGCCATCCCATTACTGGGTATGTACCCAAAGGATTATAAATCATGCTGCTATAAAGACACAGGCACTCGTATGTTCATTGCGGCACTATTCACAATAGCAAAGACTTGGAACCAAGCCAAATGTCCATCAATGATAGACTGGATTAAGAAAATGTGGCACATATACACCATGGAATACTAAGCAGCCATAAAAAAGGATGAGTTCATGTATTTTGTAGGGACATGGATGAAGCTGGAAACCATCATTCTCTGCACACTATCGCAAGGACAAAAACCAAACACCGCATATTCTCACTCATGGGTGGGAATTGAACATTGAGAACACTTGGACACAGGAAGGGGAACATCACACACCGGGGCCTGTTGTTGAGGGGGAGGGATAGCATAAGGAGATATACCTAATGTAAATGACGAGTTAATGGGTGCAGCACACCAACATGGCACATGTATACATATGTAACAAACCTGCACGTTGTGCACGTGTACCCTAGAACTTAAAGTATAATAAAAAAAAAAAGAAAGGGTAGATTCTTTTAATGGGATAATATGCCCATATTAGTTTATGTATCAGTAAAGATATGGTGAGAGACCACCACAGTGATTTAGAGAATAGGATTTCATACAGAGAATTGGAAGAGTTTGCGTAGATAATGTCAGAAAAGTTTTCTGTTGGGTTTCAGATTGCTTCCCATCTTCCATGACATCAGGAATGTGAGGACCTCGAGGAAAGCACCTCCAATGTTCATGGGTGGGTAATTCTCAAGAACACACATGGAAGTTGCTACGAAAATCTCACATCTGCTGAATCCCATACCATTGCCTGCTGCTGTCACACTGTATCCTGTACACCTTCTGAATCACGTGTGAGTGCTTTTTGTTGAAAGATCTACAATAGCACTAAATTTTGGAAAATGTATTTCCCTACTTCCATCTTCCGTGACATATGATAAAATATAGAGGAGAGTGGAGATTACAGTTTGTTTTCAATAAACAATATCTAGCGTATCAGGCTTAAGCATGCCGTATTTTGATAAAGAGTACTAACTGGATTCTACGAATGGTCATTTTTACACACTTACACCAGGGCCTAAAATCTATCTCCTCTTGTTTTTACAATTTACTAGAAATTATACATATTTCTACCGTTCAAGGTACATGTAAACTAGAATCTTACAATTGCTTTTGGTCTGGGTTTCTCTAATATCTAGTAGATTCAAGTATCTTTTTATATGCTTTTTAGCCATTCAAGCCTATAGTTCTCTAAACTGCTCATTAATATCTCTTGTCACCTTATAATGGTTTTTCTAATTATTTTTATTTGATTTAGATATTCTTTAGTACATTGATGTGGTTAGGCTTGTGTCTTCATCCAAATCTCATCTTGAGTTGTAATCCCATGATCCCCATGTGTCCAGGGAGAGACCAGGTAGAGGCAACTGCATTATGGGAGCAGTTTCTCCCATGCTGTTCTCATGATAGTGAGTAAGTTCTCATGAGATCTGATGGTTTTATAAAGGACTCTTCCCCCATGGCTGGGCACCTCTCCTTCCTGCTGCCTTGTGAACAAGGTGCTTTGCATCCCCTTCACCTTCCACCATGATTGTAAGTTTCCTGAGGCCTCCCCAGCCATGCTGAACTGTGATTAAATTAAACCTCTTCCCTTTATAAATTACCCAGTCTCAGGCTGTTCTTAATAGCAGTATGAAAACAGACTAATATGTACATTATAGATATTTATCCCTTGGCCATTTCATTTTTATTTTTATTTTACTTTAAGTTCGGGATACATGTGCAGAACATGCAAGTTTGTTACATAGGTATACACGTGCCATGGTTGTTTGCTGCACCTATTGATCTGTCCTGTTAATTCGGTCCCCATGCCTCCCACCCCTCAACAGACCCTGGTGTGTGTAGTTCCCCAACCTGTGTCCACATGTTCTCATTGTTCAAGACCCACTTATGAGTGAGAACATGCAGTGTTTGGTTTTCTGTTCCTGTGTTAGTTTGTTGAGGATAGTGGCTTTCAGCTTCATCCATGTCCCTGCAAAGGACATGATCTAATTCCTTCCTAATGGCTGCATAGTGTCCCATAATGTATATGTACCACATTTTCTTTATCCAGTCTATCATTGATGAGCATTTGGGTTGGTTCCATGTCTTTGCTATTGTAAATAGTGCTGCAATAAACATACATGTGCATGTGTGAATGTGTCTTTATAGTAGCATGATTTATATTCTTTTGGGTATATACCCAGTAATGGGATTGCTGGGTCAATGGTATTTCTGGTTCTAGATCCTTGAGGAATCGCCATACTGTCTTCCACAATGGTTGAATTCATTTACCTTCCCACCAACGGTGTAAGAGTGTTCCTATTTCTCCATAGCCTCACCAGTATCTTTTTTTTCTTGACTTTTAAATAATTGCCATTCTGACTGGCATGAGATGGTATCTCATCGTGGTTTTCATTTGCATTTCTCTAATACCCAATGATGTTGAGCTTTTTTCATGTTTTTTGGCCACGTAAATGTTTTCTTTTGAGAAGTGTCTGTTCATATCCTTTGCCCACTTTTTGATGTTTTTTTTTCTTGTAAATTTAAGTTCCTTGTAAATTCTGGGTATTAGACCTTTGTCAGATGGGTAGATTGCAAAACTTTTCTTCTATTCTGTAGGTTGCCTGTTCACTCTGATGATAGTTTCTTCTTCTGTACAGAAGCTCTTTAGTTTTATTATATTTAGTTAAATGTTTACTTAATTAGATCCCATTTGTCAATTTTGGCTTTTGTTGCAATTGCTTTTGGTGTTTTCGTCATGAAGTCTTTGCCCATGCCTTGGCCATTTTAGATGACATAAACATCTTCTCCCAGCCGCATGTGTTTCTTCACTTTAACTAACTTACATTGAATAGAAATCAATTGTTAATCATATGACTTTTAACTTTGGTATCTTATAAAAAATTACTTTCCTAGCCTTTGGTAAATACTACCCCACCATTTTTACAATTAGCTTATCATGTGTAACTTTAAGAAGCTTTCATTAATGTGTCACTTCATATTGTGAATTTGAATAAAATATAAATAAAAAGGGACTCGCCTATGCTCAGCAGTAATGTGACCATTTTATGCAATTGAATTTTTGAATATCATTTATAGAGTCATGGTAGAGTTTACTTTGTTTTCTAAATGTTCCTATCTTTGTTTATAAATTATTTACAGTTTAATAATATTTATGATTTATTTATTATTAATATGATCAGTAAGATTTGGGTTTTATCCTGTACATGTTCTGTTTTGTTTTGTTAACTGATATCTTTGCTTATTAACTTAGACATGGTATCTGTTGGGCTCTGCCTTTCTCAAAACTGAGGGTCCTCTGCCTTCTGCACATTAATTTCTTTGTTAATGAATAAAAGAGGGACATATCCAAAAAACTTTTCTTTGTTGCAGGGGAGTAACTTTCTGATGGAAGTATGAGCTAAAAATAAACTTTCCCCACAGGGGACAGGAATAGAGGTGCCATTTCTTGGCATGAAAGTGCCTTCAGAACACCCCTCTTCTCCCACTTCATGAATATAGCATTTTAGGATTGGGTGAGAGACTCAGTTACTTTTTAAAGTACTTGCATTCTTAGTTACGCACTGATCAATCCTTCAAAATGGCTATGCATCCAGAATCAAGTAGAATGTTCTATAAAAAAGCTGAAGCCATAATAATGGACAGAGGTGAATTAACATCTTTTATTTTACATTTTGGGATTCATTATTTTGCTTTTACAAGAAGAACAAAAATTGTAAGTATTCATGGCCTTTCCTCCTACCCACCTCACCTTCTACAGAATGTTATATCTCTGCCTGCTCAGCCCCTGGGCTTTCGCTGTCTGCATTGTTGGTAATGGGAGGGGAAATAGAACTGGAAGAGCAAGGAAATCAATAGTCACATCATGAATGCAGAGTTGTAAAAAGAGTAAAGAAGAGAATAATGGGAAAGCCAAAAAAAAAAAAAAAAAAGGGAAGTAAGCAAACTCAAACAGGATTATATGTGATCTGAAACTGAGAATACTTAGAAAATAAGAGCTTTTGATGGCAACTGAAGGCTTATAAAATGTTGAGAGAAGACTTGTGGAAAGGGGCTTGGAGAGAGAGCTTGTAGAAAAACATTAAAATTTTTCTGTGTCTTAGGAGATTTGCTTCTTTAATGCTTTACAGAGTCTTAAATACTTAAACTGCCTTTCAATTTTCTACGCAAGTCTGATGATTATTTAATTATAACTGTGCTCAGACTTAGCTGAAGATAGCTCAAATTTCTGTGGGTTCATTTGATTCATTTTGTCCTTAGAATAAAAAAAAATTTTAAGTAAATATGCCATTATGTTATATTCTCTTAACTAAGAAGTGCATGTGTGTGTGTGTGTGAGAGAGAGATTTTAAAATATTTTACTGATAATTTTTCTGCTGATTATATGAAATTTTGTGTTACATTGCTTAAGCACATGCTCAAGCACAAAACACAGAAAAGAACATTTTACAAAATACTGGCTCAAGAATATTACCATTGGAGCTCTGTAGTCCTACAACCTAGATAGCTAAACACTTTCTATATAGTGAATATATAGTAGCTATTTAAATTGATGTAAGTGAAGACAAATCTAGACACATAAATGTATATGGAGATAGTAATAATTGTTATTAATCTATTGGCACAATTAGTAAAATCATTCTGCTTTACAAGACTTATACTTTCTTTCTTTTTTTTTTTTTTTTTTTTTTTTTTTTTCATTGAGACGGATTCTGGCTCTGTCGCCCAGGCTGGAGTGCATTGGCGCAATCTCGGCTCACTGCAAACTCTGCCTCCTGGATTCACGCCATTCTCCTTCCTCAGCCTCCCTAGTAGCTGGGACTACAGGCGCCCGCCACCACGCCCGGCTAATTTTTTTGTATTTTTGGTGGAGATGGGGTTTCACCGCATTAGTCAGGATGGTCTCGATCTCCTAACCTCGTGATCCGCCCATCTCAACCTTCCAAAGTGCTGCGATTACAGGCGTGAGCCACCGCGCCCAGCTGACTTGTACGTTCAAAACTAGTGATTTTGCAGAGTTTCCTAGGTTTCTGGCGTCTCAAACACCGTTTCATGGGGTACATGAAGTCATACTATTTAATAGCAATGCTAAAATGTTATTTACCTTTTTGCTTTTAGTTCTTCCATGAGTGTACACTGGAGTTTTCCAGCAGCTATATCCCATGTAATATTGCAAAAGATTAAATGCAGAAACATAGATGAATAACCATCTTCCTTCTATTAAGGCTGATATTTTTAAAGTTCTGACAACTATAAAACGAGGTGACTCTTTTCACCATTTTTGTTTTAAAAATATAGTCTTTTTTATTAAACTGTTATTTATGCTAGCATTAAATGGTTCATTTTATTGCTATTTTAAATAAATTAATATATAACTATATATTTAACTTATTTCAATTTTAATTTCTTACGTAGTAAATATTAATAAATGTATTCATCAGCAATAGAACCTTTTTAGGGACTTTAATATATTTTCAGAGTGCAAAGTGGCTCTGAGACCATAAAATTTGAGAATTTCAGCCCTAAATACTTTTAAATAAATATACTTATCAGGATACAGAGGTCACTGTTTTTTTGGGGGTTCCAAAGAATGGAAAAGATAAAGGAGGAAGAATAAATGAAAGAAAGAGGACAAAGAACACATTGCAAACAGAATTGAAGGGATATGTTAGTTCTCTGTATCTCACTTGGCATGTCTTATAGACAAAAATGTCTCTTCTTTAGGAATAAATAAATCACAGCAAAGGATTGGAAGTCTGCAACTATCTCAAAACCACATTCATGGGCAACCAAAATGAAGCATAAAAAGAAAAATACTTGGACTTTCAAGTTTAAAAAAGTAATAATTAATACTAAATTTTTTACATTCCACTTTAGCAATTATAAGGGCACAACATTTTTATTTCATGACAGTTATAAGATCTTTATTAATAAACTAAGTACATAAAAATAATTAAAAACCTTTGAAAAATCACTAAATGATTTAAATGTATGTGACATAGAGACACTGTGCCAATGTCACAGTAAGCCTGTCTTTCAAAAAGAAAAATAAATGTTTACTGCAAAACATCTAAGTTGTCCCAGTGTATATACATAAGTCATGGAAAATACTAATAAGCTCATTATTGCACCAATCTGATACCAAATCAGTAAGTCAATTTAGTGCTTATAATGTAGTGTTACATTGATTTAATGATGCTATTAGTGATATTTGCAGTGATTGGACTGGCATAAACAATTAGTATTTAGGACTCTTTCTCCATAGAAAAAACACCTAATTCCACTAATTGCCTCTAGTTCTGCTTCTATTAACTGCACACTTTGTACATGCTAATAATCTTATTATCAGCTGCTGCTGAGTTAATTAAAATTCATGTCTACAAGCATAAACCAAAATGTGTGTATTCTGATCACCTTTTATACGTTAAATAAAAATGTTGGAAGACCAAATTTAAACATTAATTTCCAGAAAGTGAAAATATATTTTTAAAATGCATATGGCAAATTAACTTATAATGAGCTCAAAAGAGGTTGCAAAAATAATTTCACATTATGATGATATGATAACAGTTCAGGATCATTTAAGAATGACATGTTCTTAAAGCAAAAAACGACATGCCAGTCCATTATTTTGTATGGAAAGTAAAATGTTTTCAGAAAAGCATTTTTCATTATTTGAGTAAAGAACTATATCTCGTTATTAATTTGCCTTTTTTCTCACTCTCTGAAAACACCTAGGATATATTTTAATTTGTTTTGGTGGTCTCATAGTCAGTCTGAAATACATTTTCTTTTTTTCTTTATATTTTGCTATTTCAGCGTTTAGCAAATAATTTCTGAGTAAATTGTATAGGTTCAGTCCTGAATGAAGAACTCTTATTTTTATTTGTTAGAGAAATGTTATATATAATATCCTATTCATATCTAGAAAAATTGATTTGAGTTTTAAAATTTTATTATTTATAACTCTAATCATTAGTGACAATGAACATATACTGGACAGCATTTTATAATTAAGAATGTGACAATATATTTTAGCTACATTCACTTATTAATAATGAAATTAGGTAATAATAAGATATGATTAATCTTAACTGGATTTTATTCAAGAAAAATCATTCTATTTGGGTCAAATATGAAATGAAAATAAGTGTCCCTGTGTCTTAGATGTATTCCTTAAATATTCAAGCCGCCTAGATTCTCTCAATTGGGAATTGACAAGTGTTATTATAACGTCGTGTTCATTGGGTGATAACAGCTCTGTGTTGTCATGTGGTTTTTGCTTTAAGAACATATCATTCTTAAAATATATGAATACAGTGTCATATATATATGTGTACACAAAATTTATATATATACTTCATATATGGATTAGTTGCTAGAAACTGAATTCCCTTCCAACAACAGAAAAAGGTGACAAGATGGATGATGGGTTATGATTTATTTTATCTCCAGTGGGGAAAAAAACCTCTTCAAAACTATAGTATTGTTGATTTCAAGTTTAACTCAGAAAAAAAAAAGTGGCATCAGGTAGAACATTTTTTCACTCTTTCTTTTTCTATATTATTATTAAAACAAATATATCCAAATGTTGATGCCCTCTTTATTTTATTCATAGCTTTTGAGGCATGTTTCATAGCTGTAATACAGCTGTGTATATTCCCAAACTCCTCACTGCTAAGTGAAAAATCAGTTTTCCTTTCTTGCCTTTTTTAACTTATTTAAATAGGACACACTCATGCATGCCTTCCTTCTTGAAATTCTTTCCTGCCCTGGCTTCCTTGACAACCTTTTACGCGGTTTTCCTCCTACCTACGTGATATTGCCTTCTCAGTGTCCATTATGGGCTCTTACTCTAAAATGAAGCCTTCTCCAAGTTTCCATTTTTGGCCCTAACCTCTTGCCTTGCCGTCATTCTGAAAAGGCAAATCTTATTTCTTCCTTATGTCAGCTACCAACTCTACCGAACTACTTTCAAAACAGCATCTCTGACCTTTAATTACAGGTACTCAGTATTATATAGTACAGCTTCCTAAGTATTGCACAATTGAATCTATGTCACTATCTCCCAAACGGGACTCATTTTCTATCCTTTAAATATGTGTCTCCGTCTCAGCTAAACCCACTATGTTCGAGAAAGTGGAATTACCTTTTTGTTCCACTCAGCACAATGGACTGTGTTGGACATCTTATTTACTGGTCTACATACACCAATGAAAGCTCAGCTCTGTGAGGTTACAGTCTATTTCTTATCTATTTTGTTCACCATGTTCCTGTAGTTCTACTTTCTCAGAAGATGCAGAGTGACCCTTCTTTGTCACCCTTTCCCACAATCAATTAGTCCCCGACTCCTTCTTATTCCTTATCCTAAAAGCCATCCCTTGCCCAGCCACATTTTTTAGTTCATTCTTTTTATCATCCATGACTTCAAATAGTATAATAGCTCCCAATCGCTTTTTCTGCTTCAGTCCTATTTATATATTTACCTCCTCTTGATTAAACTTTGCAATGATTCCAATTATTTAAGATGCCGTAAAAGTCCCTTTTTTATGCAGCTGCTACTTATTCCAATGTCATCTTCCACTCTGCACTTTCCAGGAGCTACAGCATCTACCCACACTGACTAATTTTAAATTTACTAAACACATGAACCTGAGGCAACACACTATGCTCCTATGATATGGGATGTATATAGATATTGACATAAATAGAGTTATAGACATCAATATAGGTATAGATACTGGCAAAATCAAAAAGATGTAGATGTACAGATATAGATAGATGCAGATACAGGTATTTTTAATCACCTCCAGCCAATTCTTCTTCAATTGCATGATCTCCATGAAGCGCTCCTCCCCTCCATGCATGTTGAGGAGCACGGCGTTCACCGTGTGTTCCTACACTAGCCTGAGGGTATCTCTGTTAAACGATATTGAACATTGCATTTACATGTCTGGACTATAAACTCCTTGAAAGTAAAGATGGTGTATCTTTGCATGTGACACAGTTGTCATGGAATCAGTCATTTTAAAAGTTTGTTAAAAGAAGGTGTGGAATTTAAAAATAACAATCTGTATTAATTACCAAATCAATCTATCATGTAAAAAATTGAAATATGCCTATCCAAGTAACAGTGGCATAGAGAACCTCGGGTTACAATCTTGTCAATAAAAATTCATTTCAGAACTCTTTCCTAAAATATATAGTTATTCAATAATACTTATCGTGAGAAAAAAAATCCCCATATAGGAAATAGAAGGAAGAAATATTTACTCATGTAAAGTATAATTTGAGCAACAATTGGAACACCTTTGTCTTTTTGCTCTTTTTAAACTGTTAATTAATAAGAAAATTTTATATTAAGAAGGCTTTTAGTTAAAATTCAAATTGCTTTGAGAGACGTAACAATAAACTCTTTTTTATTTTGTTTGAGCTTTTATATAAGAGTGTAGATACTTATTTGGAAATTTTATTTTATAGGAAATAATCTTAACACTGATTTATAGTGAGAAAAAGAGGACATAATGTTAACTAAAATAAGCCACATGCAGAATGAAAAATACTGCATAATCTCATATGTGGCATCTAAAAAATAGTCATTACTGGGGCAGGGCGGGGAGTGCTGGAAATGGGAAGAAGCAGGCCAGAAAGTACAAACTTGCAGTTATGTAGGACGAATGCCTAATAAATAATAATAAAAATAATAAATTGCACAGCATAATGATTGATAGGCTAATTTGCTTAACTATAATAATTATACACACATACATATACACATGTATACACATGTAAAAAATCTATATCTCTCAAAGCATCATGTTATACATCTTAAATATATACAATAAAATATCCTAACTCAAATTTAGGTACTTTGAGAAAGACAAGCTTAATGTTCGTGACTATTTCTACTAGATTCATTTTTGCTGTCCGTAAGCAAAGCCGTACCTCCACTAAGAACCTGGGTCCAACTAAGATGTCAGAGAGAATACCTCCTAATTCTTTCAGGCTGCCATGTTAACATTTCTTTAATATTAATAATGATTCCTGTGCTTTCATTTATTCAATATGTGTGTGCATTATCTGCAGTTACGGGTTAGTGAAGTATGAAGCACAAACATGTTTTGCTCCATATCAGAATATGAAAGCCAACAATTTAGACTTTAAAAAGAAATGTATTTTCCATAGCTTCATACAGAGCGTATTTTCATATTGTAGTAACTATTGCCATTGAGAACAAATCAGGATAAGCTTTGTGTTATTACCAACTACCATTGACCCTTAAATAATGCAAGAGTTAGAGGCACCAACTCCCACACAAAAATCTGCATATAGCATTTGACTCCCCCACAGCTTAACTATTAATACCCTACTATTGACTTACCAAGAACATAAACAGTTGATTATCATATATTTTGTATGGCGTATGTATTATATATGGCATTCTTACAATGAAATAAACTAGAGAAAAAATGTTAAGAAAACCAAAAGGAAAATAAAACATAGTTGGTATTTATTAAGTGGAAGAGGATCATCTCATAAAGACTCATCCCCAGCCAGGCGCGGTGGCTCATGCCTGTAATCCCAGCACTTTGGGAGGCTGGAACGGGCAGACCAATTGAGGTCAGGAGTTCGAGACTAGCCTGGCCAATATGTTGAAACCCCTTCTCTACTAAAACACAAAAAGCCAGGCTTGGTTTGCAGGCGCCTGTAGTCCCAGTTACTAGGGATGCAGAGGCAGGAGAATCGCTTGAACCCGGGAGGTGGATATTGCAGTGAGCCGAGATCCCGTCACTGCGCTCCAGCCTGGGCAGCAACAAAGTGAGGCTCCCACTCAGAGAGAGAGAGAAAAAAAAAAGGCTTTGTCTTCCTGTTGAGTAGGCTGAAGAGGAGGAAGGGGAGGAGGAGGGGTGTCTCAGGGGTGGCAAAGGTGGAAGAAAACCTGTGTATAAATAGAACCGTGGAGTTCAAACCCGTGTTGGTCAAGGATCAACTGTACTCTAAGAGAGTAGAAGTTGGAACTCTCATTCAGGCCATACTGAACTAGAAATACCATTCGACCCAGCCATCCCATTACTGGGTATATACCCAAAGGATTATAAATCATGCTGCTATAAAGACACATGCACACGTATGTTTATTGCGGCACTATTCACAATATCAAAGACTTAGAACCAACCCAAATGTCCAACGATGATAGACTGGTTTAAGAAAATGTGGCACATATACACCATGGAATACTATGCAGCCATAAAAAATGATGAGTTCATGTCCTTTGTAGGGACATGGATGAAGCCGGAAACCATCATTCTCAGCAAACTATCGCAAAGACAAAAAAACAAACACCGCATGTTCTCACTCATAGGTGGGAATTGAACAATGAGAACACATGGACACAGGAAGGGGAACATCACACACCGGGGCCTGTTGTGGGGTGGGGGGAGCGGGGAGGGATAGCATTAGGAGATATACCTAATGTTAAATGACGAGTTAATGGGTGCAGCACACCAACATGGCACATGTATACATATGTAACTAACCTGCACGTTGTGCACACGTACCCAAAAACTTAAAGTATAATTAAAAAAAAAAGAAAAAAAAGAGAAGGAAAAGGTTGGGGGAAAGGTCTGCAATTCTATTTTGGATGTTGAGGAGAAGATGAGTGGGACAGCTGCAGCTTGCTCACTTTAGAGGGTTGGCACAGTTGTGCCCTGCTTTGCCAAGAAGAACACGCACAAGGGATAGCTAACAGGCAAAGTAGACCTGGAATAAGGGATGAGGGCTTGGAGTGGAAATGGCCTATAAAGTCTCAGTCTTCCCAGTGAGTGGTCCATGAGTCCGTAAGTCAGGTAGTTTTGCCCTTATTTTATTTTTTATTTTGTAAAAATTTATTTGTATAGACTTAGAAGTGCAGTGCGGTTTTGTTACATGCATATATTGCCCTGTGCTGAAATCTGTGCTTTTAGTATAACTATCACCCAACTTAAAAAAAAAAATACTATCTGGCTAGAAAACTGATTTTTCCATTATTCTTGTTATATCCAAAAGGTCTGGTTTTAGCGACTATTCTATTACTGTTTTTAAATGTCTCTTGGTCAAATATACAGTTTTCATTAATACAAATACTTTGTTACACATTAATTGTGCAGATTTCCACTGGAAAATGACCATACTTTGTATCCTTCCGGCCTTGTCACTGTTGTTGGCATTATTCTAAGGCTTGCCGTGAATACAGAACACCACTGCTGTCATTTTTCAGTAAGCATTGCCATGTTTTTCTTGTCTCATATTGGCTTCCAGTGGGTTCTGATATGATTTCTTCTGCTCTGGATTCTTATCAGTATCTTGCTACCTCATTAGCAAGCATCGTTTAGCAGAAACACCTGAGCCGACATGATGCCACCTTGCTCAGCCTTTTGCCTTTCTTTGGGACTGTCCAACCTAGCTTCCTTTCTCTTTACTACAAGAAGACCGTCAGCCCTTTGTGAGCTGATAATTAATAATCAATTAAGGTTTGATAATAAAATTGCACTATATTGTACTTTGGCACCTGAAGTAATTTATTTTCATAACACCAGGAGCAGCTCATCACCAATTATAATGAAAGTAGGTTCACAGTCTATGATTTTTTTCTTTCATATAAAATTTGTGTAACCAGAAATAATAAGAGGTGTATAAAAGAAGTGTCATGTAGCTATAATACATTGATTAATATTTGTTGTCACATTAAGTGGGCTTGGGATCCTTACAAGAAAGGTGCTATTTAAGCATAAAATATTGGTGTTGTGTCTGTACTCGCATAGCTTATAAATTATATCTTGAGAGTTCACAGACACAAAGCAAGTTTTTACCATTGTCAGCAAGCAAAGCCAATGTAGCTGTTGGAGAGGGAGCCTCCTGCGTCATCAAAAGAATTCCCAGCTGAGCCCTGATCCCCTTATCACTACCATAAGTGATGGTCGATGGTAGTTCAGGTATAAAGAACACAGTTCCAATTCCAGGTGCCAGGCTGAACCTGATATGGTAACAGGGAAAAGATCTTCTAACTCATAAACACAGAAAACTAGATATAAATAAGGATTATGGCAAATAACTCGGATATAACAAAACGCAGTCTCTTCTGAAAAAAAACCAAAAACCAAAAAACAGCATGTGTGAAAACAATGTATTTTCCTCCAAAACTGCAGGTTGTTATATGCCAATTAGCAAGTTGAATAAGATATTCAGGTAAAACACTAGAATGTGAGATTATACATTTGTATACAAAAATTTTTGCCAAAATCTCATATGTAAATTTATTCATCTCTGTGCAGTTCTTAAAGTAGTAGGTTCCTAATAAATGTCAATTGAATGAACCATATATCCTGGTGAGTATATGCAAATGCCACAAACTGTCAATTAAATTTAATCTTGTATTTTACCTTGCATTGCACTTGTGCTAAAACTATTCCCCATTAATTGGATTCTTTATATGTGAGGTATGTTAATCTGATATGATACAAACAACTTGTTTTGTGGTGTTCTAATTCTTTTATTCAAATTAAAATGGGGATTTGTTTAGTGAACAAGTTAAGAACACTATGGTGGAGGCACTTTACTTAGATTTGTGTTTCATTAGCTCATTAATACAGAATTAAACATTTCATCTCAAGCATGCTTACATGCCTAGTGTATACTTAGCCCTCAACAAATGTTAATAGCTCCTGTTTTGCCACTGAGTGTAAGGGTACCTTCGAAACATTCTGACATTTTGCAGTTTGCCAATGTATTTATTAGATACTTCATGTCATATAATCTATACAACTTGTCTTATAGCTTCAACTGCTAATTTGGGGTTCCTCTCAGTTCTCTAAAAAATCGGAACATCCTTAGGTCAGAACTTAAATGGCATTGCTAATTAGAGCATGAGTGCCATCTAGTGGTAGACATGGCTAACTACAGGCTTATTGGTGAACAAAAAAAAAATAGGTGGTGAAAATGTTCTGCTTCTTCATTATAATGCAGTCTCTTGGAGTTAGTCTCAGACAAACAAATGAGACATCCTATATATACGCTACTCAGCCAATAAAAATTTAAACACAAAGTATATCAGATTGAGGGGTGGAAGAATTTAGTTCCTGGTCCACAGGAGGCATACAGTCTAGTTCTACACCTAAAGATCTACACAAAATGTTTTAAGCTGGATTCTAAGTACATTTTGGAAATATTGTAGATGAGACCAGGAATGTCTAATATATAAAGGTGAGAATCATATTTGATAGCAATATTTTTGAAGGATGATTATTTTGATGGAGGGCCAAATATCAAAGACAGGTCAAGTTAATGTACCTGACAGACTTGGGAGACAGGGAAGAGATGGGAAATGATCAAGATGCAACACACATATGGCCATTCTTTAAAACCATAAAGAACAAATTAGACTAATTCTAAGAAACCATTAGACATTTTTATCCCATACTGAGAAGAATGGTATGTAAACAGTGACAATACAGAGGTATTTACCTGGTCATGAGCAAATGAATCTTTGGTTTTGTTTCTTTATGGAAACAACTTTATATCCAGAGGTCTTGGTGAGAGAATGCTACATAAAAGAAAAATTAGACATCTGTAAAGGTAAGTGAATTAAAACTGATAGAGATCCTGAGACTTAAAATATATCCAAGAAAAAAAAATAGAAATGCATATCTAAAGGAATCTACTGGATGAAAACTAAGTAAACTTTACCTTTAAATTAGTAAGATTTCAACTTTTACTTCTATTTTCTAAAATCTTAATTAACTGCAAATGTTTATGGTTTGCATAAATAGTTGGACCAAAATGTCACAAAGGGTGAGCATAAATTCCACCTACAGGAGATTAGATATTTGCAGCTTCTGTAAGTAAGAGTTGGTACTGTGACCACCAAAAGCTTGACCACCACAGTTGAATTAGAGCTCCTCTCTCATACTTCTTAATGGTTTTGGTTGCCGATGTTATCAAGACATCCACAAAGTAGACTATGTTCTTTAGCGTTGTTTACTGAAGCAGCTGTTAAATTAATTAAGTTGGTATATTTTCCAAGTCTGATTAAGATATGTTTACTTCTGCTTTCACAAAACAGCTGTGATATGAGTACTGAGACACATCTTCTAAGAAACTCAAAATATAATTAAAATCATATTTTGTCCAGTTCAAGTAAAAGTTTACTTTTGCTTCTTCATGTGTTACTTTGCACTTATAGGGAATACTGGCATATATTGAAAATGCAAGATTTTGATTCCTTTAATTTTTATCTTAGTACTTACCCATTCACCATTATTGGTAACACATTAACATAGAGGATTAAAACATCAAAACAGAAAATGCAAATGCTAAAAGAAGCTCCAGTAGGCAAGGCAGATGATCCAAGAAAGATGACTGATCTAGACATGAATTCACCATTGGTCTGCTTCCCTACAGTTATGCTATGATTTGATGGAACATAATAATAGTTATGATCTGTTAACTAGAACCTAGAACTTATCTGAGTCAAATGAAGGGAAAGAGAAAGGAGGGCATGATTTCAATAAAAATCTGTTACACAAATAAGACAAAAGCTCAGAGGCACCTCAACTGCTACAGATGTGCTGCATCTGCTTGCTTGCCCATTGGGGACGATGAGATAAAGAGATTAAGACATTTACACAAAGATGGCTAGACAACAAGATCAGATCAGCAACATGACAGCTAGGTTGAGGTGTCATAACCATAGCATAGAGAAAGTGACCTACTGAACCACTTACCCCACTTACAAACAATGTTTTAATTAACTTAATGTACAAATGATATTTTACCAGGGTACAGGATGAGCTGGTTAATTCAAAAATGTCATTAGCATCAAACAGAGAAAACCAGTGATCTTTTAATAATGCCATTTTATTAAGAAAACAGCATTGGAATTTAATAATGGGGCATACATACTTTTATATCTTTTAAAGACAAATCTTACATCAAAACAACTATAACTTAAAATCCCATTCTCACATGTCAATAGTAGAAAATCTTGGTCATGGTATGTGAAAAGATTTGATGTTTACTTGGAAAACACAAGGTAGTTTGTTTCTTTTTAGTGGAACTCTAACAAGGAGTTTTGTTTGTTTGTTTCTTATTTTAAGCACTGTTGTTTCTCTAATTCCAGACATTGACCTGCTTAAACCTGAACACTGTGGATATAAAAGGATACAGAAGTGTACCTGATCTATAGAGCCCTTACTCTCCAAGCAGAAAATTGTAAAAATATACAGTACATAAGTTAACTCCATAACAGCAAAATTCTAAAGAAAGATGAGTCAGATAGACTAACAGTTTGTCTGTTACATATATAGATATTAATAGGGAATATATAATTGTATATTATTACAAATTAGAACATTAAAAGTCATAAAAGACATGAGAATAAATATAGTCACTCTTTCTGGGTCCTGAATGAAGTGTAGCCAGGTAACCTAGTCACCCCCAAATAATGATTGAAGTCAACATTTTAAATTTGAACTGACAGAAATAGACCTTACTATTTTTAATTAAACAGATTCAACGTTTCCTTTCTCTCCCTCTAAAGCATCAGATAACTTCGCAAGGAAAAGTGCTATTACATTATCTACTTGTTTCAAAAATATATTCACACCATAGTCTTGTGATAATATTGCTCTCTTTATAAAAAGTAGAAACATTAAAAGCTTTTATTTAGTTCTTGCTTAAGAAAGGAGAAATATTTAGTCCATTTACATCATGTAAAAGGTAAATTTTCTTGTTCATGTTAATGGTAGGAGGGCACCATGAATCATGTGACCGATAGCATTTCCTTCTTTACATTGGCTGCTAACAAAGTTAATGGCAGACCTAGCACCATTTGTAACAAAAACATCAATGCAGTTTTCTCTATAAACCTCATTTCTGGCTTCATCTTATCTCTCCTCCTATCACTTTACCGTTTGTCTTGATCTCACTGACCTACATTTTTTATTCATTTTTTTAAACTGAATAGATTTTTATAAGCCAACTTACATCCTTTCTAGGGCAAAGCTAGTTGAAAGAAATTATGTGACATAATGACTCAAAATGCCCAAATTATCGGATCATGGGTAATATAGAATGGTGTTCTAAGAAGGGAAGAGAACTTTCAGAAAGCTTTCTACACTCCCGATCCCTCTTTCAGGCTGCATGTGCTCAATTATACACTTTTAAAGGCAAAAACCTCATCGAACAATAAAAAGAATGCGTTAGAGCTCCTACACTTTGAATTTATTTTGTGATGTATTTAATGTGGTTATAAAAGTCCTGGTAGTTCTCTCTGTGAACCGACAGCCTGACAGAGGAGAAGAGCCAGTGGGGCAGAGAAAAAGCCACAGAAGGGGAATCTCCACAACGATCCCTCAGTTAACACATAAAGAAGATAACCTAGTTACTGGAAAGCAGGAACACGAATATAAAAAGTATGGAAGAGTGGAGAAGTATTAAATGCACACAAATTTGTCTTTGCTACAGAACAAGCAATCAGCCTAGATCCTGAGGATAGCGATTAAAAGCAGAGACTGGGTGTTTGTACATCATTGGATGAATGAGAAGCAGCCAAGAAACAGGAAAAGACTAATTTTAATTACCAGAAAAACTGCAAGAGAAAGAACACAGGGCTAGTGGTAGACGGCTTCCAGCTACAGGCTGCCTGGCACTGTACTCTCCTTGCCAATTAGAGCCAGTCAGACCCCATCGGGGGATTCAGTGAGCAGAAGAATCAGCGTCAGTCCAGGGTCAGGCTGCTCTCAAACACACATGAAAAACGGACACCAGCGGACACGGGGTGCGACCCTAGACTCCCATGCAGTTTCTTATACAGACACAGAGATAGAAAGCAGTACGTGGGATTTCCTTTCCATTAAATACAGGTGCAAACCACATTCTCTATGGAAATATATTGCAAAGGAAATGTTATATAATTTATTTAACAAATACCCAATTACCATCAGCCCAATCGTGGGAATTGGAAAACGACTCAAAGACTGAGAGGAAAAAAAAAAAAAAAGTAGAGAGGAGGACTGGCAGAACAATGGCACTAAAGCTGCCACACTGTGGATTTACTACCTGTGTTATTTTTCCAATTACAGCCATTGTAATATAAAAATTCCGAAAAAAAGGTTGCTGAGACCATTCCTTCGCTTTTTTTTAGAACTGAGTCAACACCCCAAATCAAAGAGAAATATAAACAGGCAGAGCCTGATAGTCCTTAGATGAAACGCGTAAGTGCAGAAACAAAAGAGAAGTGCTTCCCATTCAGGACTTAAGAAAATTCTGCAAAGTGAAAAAGTCCACTCTCAAACCGACCTAAGTGAACGCGTCAGTCTGTGCTGCTGCTGTCAGAGGTGTGAGCCGGGGACTACAGGAATCAGAGTGAAGACAGGAGCGGAGGAAGGGACTCTCGCCTGGATCTCCCGTGCCGACTCCAGCCAGCACGTTTGCTTTGTAATCTATGAATGTTAAATACGGAGGGGTTGCAGAGCAGAAACGCTCGGGGAAGGGGGGCAGGTCCTCTGTACTTAGCAGGGAAGGAAAATGCCGGTTGACTAGTGAGACGAGTGGAGAAACACAGAGCACCCTCCGGGAGGCGCACAGTTCGTTAAGCCCAGGGACATGCTCAATGAACCTTTGCAGCAAGAGGCAGTGAGGCGCTGGACGCGGGCGCCGGTGACAGCGCGGGCGGCCGGGGAGGGGCGAGGGGCCGCCCCGGGAGGACACAGCCAGTCAGAGGCGCGGGGCGCAGGGCGCGCGGACGCATTGGAGGAAAACACGCGAGCCCCAAACACACCAGCCGCAGGAGGCGCCGCACCTACTTCCCAATATAACCAACTACGGCGTGGGGGAGCGGAACTGCGAGAAGGCGGCAGCCAAAGTGCCATTAAAGCTCGGGGCGGAGAGGATGCGTTACCTGGGTCCCGTCTGCTGCGAGAGGCAGGGCAAGCTGGAGGATTCCCTCTGAATGATTAAGAACTCCGCAATTCGCCTCTGCCACAGGCTGCAAAGGACCCGAGGAACCGCTCTCTCTGAACTGTGCTGATGGGCAGGAGGATGGGAGACAGGAATTGAGAGTCACAGAGGAAGGACAGTGGAGTCTGGCATCTTATTGGTAAGTGGCTGACATTCCTTTGCCAGTGACTGCGTTCTGTGATTGTGCACTTCATCTCCCAGCCACTTAGGATTTTTGACACACTCTGTTCTGCAAAGCCATCCTTTCTTGCCATGTTGCCAGAATGTAAAAACTGTAAGATGAAGCTTTTTTAAATAAAGGAAACAAAACACGACTTTATTTCCTGCTGGGATTTTATGGCAAAAAGTTGAAACAAGAGTAAATATAACCTATTTGTATATCTCCTAATGCCACCCAAAATAAGAGTAAGCAATTCCTACACGCAAATTGCAAATTGTAAGGCAATAAATGCCAGGATAAAGTGAGGATGTTTCTACAAAAGAAACTAAATGTTTGGAAAATAGGATGCCGTTCTCAGGTACTGAATGTATGCCTTATGTTTGAGCAATGAGTTTCCGAGACTAAATAATTGGGCATCTGGCATTGCAATAACTTGTTAAAATTCAGTAGGGATGCTCTATAAGTGGAGTTCTACAAAGTTCGTGAGACTGAGAAAAACTGTATCTTGGATTATGCTGAGCTTTTTTCTAAAGGTTGTATAGGATTGTGATAGATTAAAAAATTATGTTCAGACATCCTTACCATGTTTTGTAGGGAGATATACGGAAGAGAATATCAATTTGCACATACACAAACCTGAGAATTACTCTGATGACCTGAACAATAAGTTGTTTCAACTATATTTATTTGCGAAAGAACCAGAATCCACTAAATATTTTAGAATTATATTACTTTTAAATCTTAGAACTGTTCTCCCAAGAAAAATACAATTTCATGTGGTAATTTAAATGCAGGTGAGAAGCAAAAAACTTTTAAACTGTTGTATGTTCAATGCCTTACCTACATTTCATTCATTTGTTTCTTAATTTAAAAGAGAAAATCATTTAGAGGGTCAATACTTCTACTTTGATTCTCAATTACGACTGTGGAAATAAGGATGAAAGAAGTAGATGTTCATTAGAATACTAGCATTTAAAATTATAGACAAATAGTCAAATTTAAAAATTAATGCAGATATCATCGATTACTGTTGAATTGCAACAGAATTACAGAAGTACTTATGACCATTACAGGGAGCTTAAAGGAGTTCATTATGATTAATATTGTGACTCTCAGTATTTTAAAAAATAATGATTAGGTCATTAACTGTTTTTGAAAATGCCTGTAGTCAATTTTGAGCAATTCTCATGGTTGCTTGCATATTCTCCTATTTCATGCTCAAATTATTCTAAGTTAAGTGGGGACTAGTATGCTGAGTCTTAAACTTAACAGGCATAAGTTTACTCTGACTCTAATCGAAAAGAGGTATGAGTAAGAATATGTCATATAAAACTAATGATAACAAATTAAAGATATTACATAAAAAGATCATCTAAGTCCATTAAAGGGAAAAAGGCAAAAAAAATCAGAGTTAAAGTTATAAAAAGGGAAATTCAATATAAAGAATAGAATTTGACAAATAGCTGGAGTGTGAGGGAATGATATTAAAGCCTATCTGAAAATAGAAAGTCAGTGAAATGATTATTACAAGTGCCAGTGTTTTTGCTTAGGAATTGGTGTATCCTTTAAATTATTTAAAACTTCTGAAAATTGAGAAAGGAGGAGAAAAACTGCTAATTTTAATTTCTTTCTGATTCCATAGACAACTGAACAGAAAGTTAGATTCTTAAAAGTTATATAAAAATATAATCCCATAGATTAACTAAATGCCGGACTTTGTCTATAAGTTGTGAGGCACATGCACACCAAGGTGCTTTTGGAAATACATCCAAAAAGCTACAGTTGTGGAATTTTTAAATGAATAGCTGAAATACCTGAATGTTTCTCAAGGTGAGCAGTTAGTACTTCAAGTATTAGGTGGTCTGAAACAATTCTTAGTCAGGGAGCCAACCTGAAATCAAATCATGAATCTATACATAGAATATGTTTATGTAAGATGAATCATTAAAATTAGTAGCATGTAAAAATTTACTTCAATCTTATGTGTCCAATTAAGTAGCGCTATCTGTTAGAAATGTACCAGGTTTGGCTGATATGTATTTCTTTAAATGTCTCTTTTACTTCACAGTTTAGAAAATCTTGACCACTTTCAGGGTAGAGGTAGGAGTGTGATTGTCTGTCACAGCTGACTTAGCAATATGGACCAGAGGGTGCCAGTAAAGGGCAAAGGGCCCGCATAGGCTGGCCAAAGCATTTTGGAGTTTGTCTTACTTCTAGACAAAATAAAGGCATAATTTGTGAAGATTAAAATAAAAATGATGAAAACTTCTCTAGATGGCTGTAATACTGTGAAGATGATTTGACTGTAGAGAGTTTGATTGGCTAAAACAAAGTTGTAGCAGAGTTTAGTGTCTCCTTCATCAGTCAAAAACTAATCCAGAATTTTATGAGGCTCAGATATTTACAATATTGTAATTTGCCGAATCCATTCTTTCTCATGTATCTTGATTACCTATTGTCTTTGAACTTTCTTTTAAAATACGGGTTTTTAAATTTTTACCAAGTCGTTGGAAATTTATTTCTCTTACTTTAAATAATAAACTCATACATTCATGTAGTTTGTTTTCTTGAAATTCTGACTCCAGGAGTTGATTTTATCTCTCTTTCTTCTTTCTGACAATCCAAGCATAAAGTAAGAGAGTAATATGTTTCTCACAAGATGTTAAGAACCGTGTTGTAAGGCTGTGCTAACATGTTACATGAACTTCTTAACACTTTATAGCAGGAAAGAGACTGGTCGGAAGCTCAAAGCGGTAGAATCACTGCAGAGGTCTATTTTCTGAGCATTTGTGATCAATAACTCCACATTAGAGGCTGGTACATTTTAAAAAGTAATGAAGTATATAAAACTCCTAATGCTTAAGATTTAAGATTAAAAACTATTATGAACTATATTCCATCTCCCTACCCACTCAAGTAAGAAATCCTGTTTTATGATTTTTGGAGATTCAAATGTGTATTGTTAGAAGTGTTCTAATAAACTGAATATTATTAGTTTATGTTTTTTCCAGACACTTAAACAGTGTTTTAGTTAATTATTTTATTTAAATTGAATGACACAAAATATAGTGTTTTAATACAGTGGCTATAAAAGCAATTTTTAAAGGGAAACATGAATTTGCTTTTTAAGAAAACTGGTTTTACAATGGATTTCTTTCATCAAAATTATTTTGAAGTATTGAATTGAATCCCAAGAAATTGACACAACACTGTATAACTTCAGTTATGTTTTGCCTATTATAAATATTTGCATAAGCTAATTGTAGATAATTTTATGTCTATTAATCCCCATAAATTAAAACACACGTCTTTAGTTTTATATCCCAGAGTAGTGCATGTTATATTTTTGACATTATACCCTCCTCAAACATAAGCTCATACGTGTTACAAAGCTATTCAAAGTATGGTAGTTTCTCTTTTCTCCAGTGCAGGGAACTGGGAACTTTCCAGAGAGGCCACAAAGTAATTGTGAAAAATAAATCAAGATTGTCTGTTTTATGGAAATAAAAAAAAGAATCTCATTTTTAATCTAATATAAAATAGTGTGAGATCTATCATTCATGAGAATCTTAAGAAATTACAGTCATATTCATTTCCTGTGTATTTCTTAAGCTAGAATTTCTTGTGATCACTGCCATTTTTAAACGTTTCAGAAAATGTTTCATTAGATACATTTTAAAACACGGGTGTAAAGTTGTTTTTTCTCTTTTTCTAAGTGGTTCTTAAAAACTCATAATGATCTAAATAACTTGTTGCCCAATGGCCACTTTTTATTTATTTATTTATTTTCACAAATGACCTTCTCATAACAGATCCGACAGGACTCACCTATTTCCTCTTATGCCAGTCATGTTTCCAAATATTTCTCACACTCAATTTGCATAGAGCGGAGATCTAGATAAAAAGCAAGAAGCCAATACATTTTATGAGTTTTCTATGAAAAATATTGTTACAGTTAGTATCTTTACTAGAAAATATGGAGCCAATTAAAGGGAAAGTGACTAAACTGAACAGAATCCAAATAAGCAATTGCATTTTAGGCAAGGAATATTTCATTTATCTGAATGATCAAAAATTCTCTTTCATAACCATTGACTGGAAAAGTATAATTATATATTTAAACATTTTATGAAGGGCGTAGAGATGTTCTTCATAGGATTCTTATAGCTGCTAACAACCCAGAAAGGAGAACATCTCATCTTCCATTACTATCCAGTAGTAAACGTAGCATATGTTTAGGAAGAGAAATGTTGCTGATTATATAGGTGATAAAAAGTTGATTGAAATTCTCTTCCTTTTGTGAGTTATAATATTGGCAGAAGCATTCATCATGAGGCTAAAAATACTGAGATGCTCTCATCGAGAGATATTATAATGATAGTAATAAAGTATCTGGAGCTGCAACCAGGTCTATTAATGTATTTTTACAAATATTTCATTAGTTGCAGGAGTTTGTATTTATCATATAAATAGTAGAGAAATGGGATGTTGATTTTGTGAGAAATTTACTTTTAAGTATATAAAGTTTTATCTTTATTTTCTTAAATAATTAATGTTATACTTAGAAGTATTAAGGATTTTTTTCTGAAATTAAACGAAATATAAAGGCAATACTCAAGAATTTAGAACAACTATTCTAATTCACCTAGGTTCTCCCATTTCAGTTACATGCAAGAACTTACTTTCAATTATGCAATATTTGTTGAGATACTATTGTTCTTGAGCCTTTAAGTGTACTAAACTAGACAAAATCCCTGATGATTAAAAGTAATATTATTGGAAGTTACAGGTGAGTGACAACAGGAATTTTTAAAAGAATTTTATTGTTTTCTAAAAATACATTTTTATTTAATTGGCAGTTTCATGATCATTAAATATGATAGGAATTCCTGGGCACTGGAACAGATTGACCCCAAATATATCTGAAAACACTGTGAAAAGTCTCATGTTTAATCTGTTAGGTATTGTATTTTGCCTTATTTTGTTATTTTAAAACCTTCTTCTTCATATTCTTTTCTAAAAGATATAGACTGGCTTAATATTATCTCCCATATAGCAAAAATTATTAAAACAACTTGTTAGTGACCACTATTTCTTTTCTAATTTTGTATTTTCAATGATAAGAATTTCAAAAGTTATGGCATTGATAAGAGAATTGAAACTCTAAGCTTCATAATTCTATTTAATACTCTCTTCCTCCTTCTGTGATGCTGTTATTCTAATGTGTGAGCTGGTGAATGAGAGTTCATGCTAAAATAACCGTATCATTCAAATTCAGCACAAATCTCATGATTTATTGATGATTAATTGTGGAACCCTTAGGAAAAAGTGACAGAATAAATACCATTTAATATTGGAAGGGGCCATGCGAGCTCATATTTTTACCTACTCATAATAAACAAAGTTTCTTCACTAATAAGCAAGGGTATAAAAAGGTGAAGTGATGTGTTCAACATTGCAAGTAATGCAAAAGATGGAATTAGAACCCACATCTCTTAAATTTGAAGATCAGAGCTTTTTATGGCTTATACTTCATTTTAGACTGTGGACATCTTGATTATTTTTGTATCTATTCAAATCAAATCCTTATATTAGAATATAAATATATGTAATTTCCTTGTTGCCACTGATTATACATAAAACATTGTCTTTTAAGATTAGAAATTTAAGATCCAATTATATTAACTCAGTGGAAACTGCTATACCCGCATTCTCTTAACCAACAACTACAGAACTTAATTGCTAGATGTGAACTTTTTCACAATGAACTTGGTATGCACTCACCAGCTACATCAAATGACAGAAGGGGTTTTTTTTTTGACAGTTTTAATTATGAAACTTGGGAATCTTTTAGAGTATTATAATGAAGTAGAAAAAAGGATTTAAGTGATTTTATTCCATGGCATATATGTAAGGGAACATCCATTTGCCCTATAATACTTCTTAATTTTTCCCAGACTGGCAGGTTTTCTTTTTTTCCTAGTAATAAATGTTTAATGGAAGCCCTAAATCAAACAGAAACTCAGCAAGAAATGTAGATGAGAGTATATTTCTGTGTTTGACAAATTTTGGGTAAACTTTAATTCATGGGCTTTTTAAAGGTAGTAGCGATTTTAGAGCATTTGATAATAAAGCAGAGAATATATCTCTTGAAATATGCACTACTTTTCTGTGTTTTAAAATTCAAATGTCAACTTGTATATAAATTCTAGTTTTTCTGTTACAATATTAAAGGAGGTTAATAGACAACAAATTTGAAACCGTAATAGTATTTAATCGTCATTGTATCTGAACCAAAGTTTACTTATGCTTAATTTTAATAATGTCATATAAATTGTTTTAGAATGAATATATACACTAAAAATTCCTCAGTAGAACTGAATATGATAAAACATAAAATTACCATAGTGCAATTGAGTGGAAGGCAGTTTAAATATTGCTGAATTTCTGGTATTACATTGCTTGTACAGATGCCTTCTCCTGATGCTTTAATTGACAAATTATGACAAGCAATTTATGTGTTTGGGGGAATGAATTCAAGTTTTAAGACTTTTTCTTTAAACACTGAATATTTAAAGATGGCGCGATAAGTGTAGCAGAGATGAGGTAAAAGACGGTGACTAAAAAGGTTAATATTTTATCTGAAGTCTTTTATATCCTAAGTATATAACCCCAGTTTGCAAATAAAATAAAGAAAATATAAAACATGTCCTTGAAGCCCAATGAATAGTCATTTTAGTTCTTTGAATTTTTACTTTCCTTAGTTATTTATTTTCCTAAAACTTACATTCAATTCTTTAACATTTTCAAATAACAGTAATCTTAGTAAGAAGGAGTAGTTATCTGAGATTGAAGTTAAGTGATCCAGAATTGATTTTATGAAAATTATACATATTAACTGTTTTAAAAATATATGACTGTGTTTGTTTGTTTCTCATTCTTTAACGTGGTCTTGTTAGTAAGTGCCACAGTGAGTAATTTAATGCAATTTCAACATTAATTTACTCACATAAATGGTCTACTGTGGACAGTGGCAGTACAAAGGAAGAATATAAAAGAGAATAAATAGTTCAAACCTGGTGGAGGAAATACACCCATAGGGTGAATATAATTCAATGTGAAATGTGCAGTCATAGAGGTATATGTGACTAAGATACAGATTTTCAATATTTCTCCTTCTGGAGACTTCTGTTACTTTTCTCCTAATGAGTCTTTCCAGCTTGGACAATTTCATGCTAACATTAGTTCTCTAACTGCTGCATTTACTTTTCAGTGCCTAAGTTATTTTAAAGTGACTTTGGTTCCAAGATTCACCTAACCACTTTAAATGAATGTGATGTTTTTTGACATCTCATTATGTTGCTAACTTTAATATCTCAGAGCCATCTAATCTCTCATGGTATAGCCAAACTCAAGGTAAAAATGAATGTGGCTGAGATGCTGTGGAAAAAAATGCCATTTCTATATGTTATAAATAAGACTGATTTCTTTCATTTATGTAGTATGATATATTAATGCTGCTGATAAAACTTATTTTGCAGGAGTGGATTAACTATGAAGCCAATGAAGCTTTGCTTATATGGCCGTTTCCAAATAGTAATAGTAGTAATAGTGGCAGAAGTCATAGTAAACATTATTTTAATAATTATAATAATATAGCTAACATAGGGAGTCATATGGATTAAAGGATGTGGTATTTGAATTTTAGGTTCAGTTTTGACTTTAAAACTTATTAGCTGTATAATTTTGGACAAGTAAAATCTTTCTTTACGTACAAAATACCTGTCATAATATTATATACAAGAAAAAATATCTACTTTTCAATGGTAAAAAAATTATAGTATTAAAATCATTAAAGGTTTGAGTCTAGGAAGAAATTTTTATTTTACTTCAATTTTCATTCTAAGCTTATCTGTCTACCCAAATATTCTATTTTTTTTTTAATGAGACACAATCCTGTTCTAATTGTGGAAGGGGATATTGAGATCTTTAGAACATCAGCATTTAAAGATTATTCTGTGTATCTCATCTTTTATTCAAAGAATTTTCTTGAATGTATACTTCTAATAAATCTGGTATGTTTGATACCATATGCTTTTGGGGATTCAAAGGAAGTGAGAAGTTTGACCACTGACATTGAAAAGATGGAAAATCGTTCAGTCAGGACACAGCTTAATAAGAAACTTAAGGAAAAAATACCTGTAAAAGACTGTAGAAACACTGGAGGAACAGAAATGGTCATTGTGGTGATGGATTAAACTGACTTCTTAGACAAACTCTTTTCAGTTGGTGGGAAGAGAGGCAGAAACAAAACAAATGTGTAGGAAAACAGTAGGAAAGCTAATTAATGTACAGAAAGAATGCTTTTAATGCAAAGAGAGAGGTTAAAAATTATAAAATGAGGAAATTTGGAGGATTCTAAGATAAACTGAAAAAATTGGGATTTTGTTCCAAAGCAAGAGAATAATATTTATCTCAAGATTAGATGATATTTGAGTTTCTTCTCAGTTTTTCCCTTTACTGTGACTTGTACAGGTCACCTTGCTTCTCTCCCTAGTTTATTAATTTCTCAATCAAAAGAATTATAATCAATGAATTTAAAGCATATTCTTCAGGTTTTGATCCACTGTTACTCTATGACTGTGTGAGTTAGGAGGTTTTGACAAAGAGAAGAATGGAATGAAATGAAAATCTAGGGATTGACAACTGCATCTAGAATGAACTCCACAGAAGAGAGAGAAGAGAGAAGAAACCACATTCATGGCATATGGTGAGGTCACAAAAAGAGCATGGGCTTCTTAGACTCAGGTTTAACCCAGGTGTTTCCCTGAGCAACACCATAACCTTTCTATGTTTTCATTTCTTTCCCTGTAAAAGATGATATTGACTACTAACTCATAGTTTTTTTTTGCGAGAAGGAAATGAGACTGTAGATTTAGGAATCAAAATTACTTCCTTCATATCTTTAGCTATAGATGCTTACAAAATTTCTTTTTATCCTTAGACTTTTTAAGGTATAAAATTATTTAAATTTTGTATAAATATATGTGGATACAATGACTCTAGTATTCTAAATATGCAGAAAATCACTATTTTCTTGGCTGGATGCTGTGTATTCATGTATGTTTGCTGATGGTGACATGTTTTATTTTAATGACCTTATTTTATTTGCTCATTTTGACAGTGATTACCTCTTCTGGACATTTTACTTTAATTTTGTTTTGTTGGGCTAGAAAAGGGATGTCCTTCATTTCCCTTTACAAAATTATTTAGAGCATAGATTCTATTTTGTAAGTAGAGGAAGATATTTCACATAATGTCTTTTGAATCCTGTGTGATAACAAAATAGTACAGAATACATTCATTTGAAATTAATAATGTTCCCCAATTATATTATTTTTTCACTTTTATTGTCTGTTTTGCTACTTCAAAAAAGTGATCTTATGAAACAGACTTGTGCTATAAATGTGGCGTCTAATGCTAACTCTCTTTTTTTTTTTTTTTTTTGAGATGGAATCTCGCTCTGTCGCCCAGGCTGGAGTGCAGTGGCGCGATCTCGGTTCACTGCAACCTCCGCCTCCCGGGTTCACGCCATTCTGCTGCCTCAGCCTCCCGAGTAGCTGCGACTGGAGGCGCTCGCCACCACGCCTGGCTAATTTTTATTTTTATTTTTATTTTTGTATTTTTAGTAGAGACTGGGTTTCACCGTGTTAGCCAGGATGGTCTTGATCTCCTGACCTCGTGATCCGCCCGTCTCGGCCTCCCAAAGTGCTGGGATTACAGGCGTGAGCCACCACGCCTGGCCTAATGCTAACTCTTTAAAACAAACTGAAACTGAAATCTTTTAAATTGTGAATTGTAATTGTATTTTACAGCAAAAATACAATGATTTAAGCTTGCAAACATTTTACAATTTTTTTTCCAAAAATGACATCTAGATATATTACTATGGTAGCTTTTTTGGATTGGCTACTATGTCAATGAGTTATTATAAAATAAAAACACATTTTATTATATGTGTGGTAAATCATATAATATTTTAAGTATGTATGTCCTTTATACCCGTGCAATAAGTAAACCTCTTCCTGAAACATTTACTGATTATTCTACTGTTGCAGAAGATATAATATAGTAGAAAGAAATGGAAGAAAGAAATCTCAGATAAGAATATTTTCTTTCAAAAAGGTATGAGAAAAATTTATTGGGTCTGGAACTATTGGATAGAGAGGAAAAAAAGGTGAAGAAAGCCACCAAGCAGACAGGAGAGGGAGCTGATAGAAAGCAATTTTGTACTGTTCACTGAGGAAGTCATTAAATAAATATTCATACCATGAGCTATTTGAAAAAAAAACCAAACAAACCTGGAATTGATATTTCACCTGAAACAAAGGTGTCTTTTAATCTTTGCTCCATGTATTTTTCTTATAAGATAATAGTTCTTAAGATCTAAATTCATGGCTTAGTTTTTCTTTCTTTTTTTTTTTATTATTATACTTTAAGTTTTAGGGTACATGTGCACAATGTGCAGGTTAGTTACATATGTATACATGTGCCATGCTGGTGCGCTGCACCCATTAACTCGTCATCTAGCATTAGGTATATCTCCCAATGCTATCCCTCCCCCCTCCCCCCACCCCACAACAGTCCCCAGAGTGTGATGTTCCCTTTCCTGTGTCCATGTGTTCTCATTGTTCAATTCCCACCTATGAGTGAGAATATGCGGTGTTTGGTTTTTTGTTCTTGCGATAGTTTACTGAGAATGATGACTTCCAATTTCATCCACGTCCCTAAAAAGGACATGAACTCATCCTTTTTTATGGCTGCATATTATTCCATGGTGTATATGTGCCACATTTTCTTAATCCAGTCTATCATTGTTGGACATTTGGGTTGGTTCCAACTCTTTGCTATTGTGAATAATGCCGCAATAAGCATACGTGTGCATGTGTCTTTATAGCAGCATGATTTATAGTCCTTTGGGTATATAGCCAGTAATGGGATGGCTGGGTCAAATGGTATTTCTAGTTCTAGATCCCTGAGGAATCGCCACACTGACTTCCACAATGGTTGAACTAGTTTACAGTCCCACCAACAGTGTAAAAGTGTTCCTATTTCTCCACATCCTCTCCAGCACCTGTTGTTTCCTGACTTTTTAATGATTGCCATTCTAACTGGTGTGAGATGGTATCTCATTGTGGTTTTGATTTGCATTTCTCTGATGGCCAGTGATGGTGAGCATTTTTTCATGTGTTTTTTGGCTGCATAAATGTCTTCTTTTGAGAAGTGCCTGTTCATGTCCTTCACCCACTTTTTGATGGGGTTGTTTGTTTTTTTCTTGTAAATCTGTTTGAGTTCACTGTAGATTCTGGATATTAGCCCTTTGTCAGATGAGTAGGTTGCGAAAATTTTCTCCCATTTTGTAGGTTGCCTGTTCACTCTGATGGTAGTTTCTTTTGCTGTGCAGAAGCTCTTTAGTTTAATTAGATCCCATATGTCAATTTTGGCTTTTGTTGCCATTGCTTTTGGTGTTTTAGACATGAAGTCCTTGTCCATGCCTATGTCCTGAATGGTATTGCCTAGGTTTTCTTCTAGGGTTTTTATGGTTTTAGGTCTAACGTTTAAGTCTTTAATCCATCTTGAATTGATTTTTGTATAAGGTGTAAGGAAGGGATCCAGTTTCAGCTTTCTGCATATGGCTAGCCAGTTTTCCCAGCACCATTTATTAAATAGGGAATCCTTTCCCCATTGCTTGTTTTTGTCAGGTTTGTCAAAGATCAGATAGTTGTAGATATGCGGCGTTATTTCTGAGGGCTCTGTTCTGTTCCATTGATCTATATCTCTGTTTTGGTACCAGTACCATGCTGTTTTAGTTACTGTAGCCTTGTAGTATAGTTTGAAGTCAGGTAGTGTGATGCCTCCAGCTTTGTTCTTTTGGCTTAGGATTGACTTGGCAATGCGGGCTCTTTTTTGGTTCCATATGAACTTTAAAGTAGTTTTTTCCAATTCTGTGAAGAAAGTCATTGGTAGCTTGATGGGAGTGGCATTGAATCTGTAAATTACCTTGGGCAGTATGGCCATTTTCACGATATTGATTCTTCCTACCCATGAGCATGGAATGTTCTTCCATTTGTTTGTGTCCTCTTTTATTTCACTGAGCAGTGGTTTGTAGTTCTCCTTGAAGAGGTCCTTCACATCCGTTGTAAGTTGGATTCCTAGGTATTTTATTCTCTTTGAAGCAATTGTGAATGGGAGTTCACTCATGAATTGGCTCTCTGTTTGTCTGTTGTTGGTGTATAAGAATGCTTGTGATTTTTGTACATTGATTTTGTATCCTGAGACTTTGCTGAAGTTGCTTATCAGCTTAAGGAGATTTTGGGCTGAGACAATGGGGTTTTCTAGATATACAATCATGTCATCTGCAAACAGGGACAATTTGACTTCCTCTTTTCCTAATTGAATACCCTTTATTTCCTTCACCTGCCTAATTGCCCTGGCCAGAACTTCCAACACTATGGTGAATAGGAGTGGTGAGAGAGGGCATCCCTGTCTTGTGCCAGTTTTCAAAGGGAATGCTTCCAGTTTTTGCCCATTCAGTATGATATTGGCTGTGGGTTTGTCATAGATAGCTCTTATTATTTTGAAATACGTCCCATCAATACCTAATTTATTGAGAGTTTTTAGCATGAAGCGTTGTTGAATTTTGTCAAAGGCCTTTTCTGCATCTATTGAGATAATCATGTGGTTTTTGTCTTTGGTTCTGTTTATATGCTGGATTATATTTATTGATCTGTATATATTCAACCAGCCTTGCATCCCAAGGATGAAGCCCACTTGATCATGGTGGATAAGCTTTTTGATGTGCTGCTGGATTCGGTTTGCCAGTATTTTATTGAGGATTTTTGCATCAATGTTCATCAAGGATATTGGTCTAAAACTCTCTTTTTTGTTTGCGTTTCTGCCCGGCTTTGGTATCAGGATGATGCTGGCCTCATACAATGAGTTAGGGAGGATTCCCTCTTTTTCTATTGATTGGAATAGTTTCAGAAGGAATGGTACCAGTTCCTCCTTGTACCTCTGGTAGAATTCGGCTGTGAATCCATCTGGTCCTGGACTCTTTTTGGTTGGTAAGCTATTGATTATTGCCACAATTTCAGACCCTGTTATTGGTCTATTCAGAGATTCAACTTCTTCCTGGTTTAGTCTTGGGAGAGTGTATGTGTCGAGGAATTTATCCATTTCTTCTAGATTTTCTAGTTTATTTGCGTAGAGGTGTTTGTAGTATTCTCTGATGGTAGTTTGTATTTCTGTGGGATCGGTGGTGATAACCCCTTTATCATTTTTTATTGCGTCTATTTGATTCTTCTCTCTTTTTTTCTTTATTAGTCTTGCTAGCAGTTTATCAATTTTGTTGATCCTTTCAAAAAACCAGCTCCTGGATTCATTAATTTTTTGAAGGGTTTTTTGCATCTCTATTTCCTTCAGTTCTGCTCTGATTTTAGTTATTTCTTGCCTTCTGCTAGCTTTTGAATGTGTTTGCTCTTGCTTTTCTAGTTCTTTTAATTGTGATGTTAGGGTGTCAGTTTTAGATCTTTCCTGCTTTCTCTTGTGGGCATTTAGTGCTATAAATTTCCCTGTACACACTGCTTTGAATGTGTCCCAGAGATTCTGGTATGTTGTGTCTTTGTTCTCGTTGGTTTCAAAGAACATCTTTATTTCTGCCTTCATTTCATTATGTACCCAGTAGTCATTCAGGAGCAGGTTGTTCAGTTTCCATGTAGTTGAGCGGTTTTGAGTGAGATTCTTAATCCTGAGTTCTAGTTTGATTGCACTGTGGTCTGAGAGATAGTTTGTTATAATTTCTGTTCTTTTACATTTGCCGAGGAGAGCTTTACTTCCAAGTATGTGGTCAATTTTGGAATAGGTGTGGTGTGGTGCTGAAAAAAATGTATATTCTGTTGATTTGGGGTGGAGAGTTCTGTAGATGTCTATTAGGTCCGCTTGGTGCAGAGCTGAGTTCAATTCCTGGGTATCCTTGTTGACTTTCTGTCTCGTTGATCTGTCTAATGCTGACAGTGGGGTGTTAAAGTCTCCCACTGTTAATGCGTGGGAGTCTAAGTCTCTTTGTAGGTCACTCAGGACTTGCTTTATGAATCTGGGTGCTCCTGTATTGGGTGCATATATATTTAGGATGGTTAGCTCTTCTTGTTGAATTGATCCCTTTACCATTATGTAATGGCCTTCTTTGTCTCTTTTGATCTTTGTTGGTTTAAAGTCTGTTTTATCAGAGACTAGGATTGCAACCCCTGCCTTTTTTTGTTTTCCATTTGCTTGGTAGATCTTCCTCCATCCTTTTATTTTGAGCCTATGTGTGTCTCTGCAAGTGAGATGGGTTTACTGAATACAGCACACTGATGGGTCTTGACTCTTTATCCAATTTGCCAGTCTGTGTCTTTTAATTGGAGAATTTAGTCCATTTACATTTAAAGTTAATATTGTTATGTGTGAATTTGATCCTGTCATTATGATGTTAGCTGGTTATTTTGCTCGTTAGTTGATGCAGTTTCTTCCTAGTCTCGATGGTCTTTACATTTTGGCATGATTTTGCAGCGGCTGGTACCAGTTGTTCCTTTCCATGTTTAGCACTTCCTTCTGGAGCTCTTTTAGGGCAGGCCTGGTGGTGACAAAATCTCTCAGCATTTGCTTGTCTGTAAAGTATTTTATTTCTCCTTCACTTATGAAGCTTAGTTTGGCTGGATATGAAATTCTGGGTTGAAAATTCTTTTCTTTGAGAATGTTGAATATTGGCCCCCACTCTCTTTTGGCTTGTAGAGTTTCTGCCCATGGCTTATTTTTTCACGTTGCGTATCGAAATGCCAGCTATTCAGAAATGCCATACAGTTGCTTGGATAAATATTAATTTAGAAGGAAGAAATGACCTAGTGTTCTCATTTATAATTCTTATAACTTGTCCGGTTTAGACATTATATATGGTCCAATATCTCCTACACATCAGATTTTTTTTTCCCAAGATGGAGTTTCACTCCCTCAGAAGTAGTCATCATTTTATACATGTATCATTCTATTTATAGATAATGTTGTTTCAATTTTTCTTAATATAATTTTGGGTAGCTACATAACAAAAATGTATCTAATTTTTAATAGAGTACTTTTGATAAAGTTATACATGATTTATATGAATAGTTCCTCACCTAAAATTATCTATCAATTTATTTCTCATATGAAAACAAATAAATATGAAATTAAAATTCTTAGTTATGAATTTTATATGAGTGGATCTTGAAGTAGTATTGCTAGGTCATTGAGAAGGTACACTTAAAATTTTGCTTTTACTGCCAAGTTTTCCTCCATAGCGATGATACTAATACTCCCACTATTAGTGTATTACAGTGTCTGTCTCGTCCCACTGTAGCCAACACACTGTGCTACCAAACTGCTTGTTCTATGCCTAACAGAATGGTTCTAAAAGAAAGTATGTTTTTATTTTAATTTATGTTTAATATTTGAACATCCCTTTATGTTTATAACACATTTTTTATTTGACCTATGGTTCCTACCCATTCGCCAGTGATGTTCTGAGTTGATCTTTTTCCTAGTCCCTTTACATATTAACAGAAACAAACCCATAGCAGCAAGAGGTCAATCTAAAATGCTTTGAGGCATTGCCAGATTTTATAAGAAATAAAATGCATATCTGTGAAAACATAGAGATGTTTGTACAAATACCATTGTCTTCTTTTCTCCCTCCACTGTAAGCAAAAGATCCAGTGGAGATCCAATGAAGAGAAGATAATTTTATCTTCTTCAATCACATAAAATAATCCAGATAAATGAGCCTGTTTTCTCATATTCAAAGTAGCCTTCTGAATATCACTCACTCAACACTGCTTCAGGGAATCTCACTGGGAATTTTTTTCACCAGACTGGTTTCTCTCCCTCTATTCTCCAACATGTCAATAATTCTGATGGGATAATCTTTCAGAGACTCAAGCTTGTCATGTCATTTCTTTGCTCTAAAAGCTTTAATCGTTTCTACTGCTTAAAGAATACATTTCAGATTTGGCAGTGTTCCATTAAGGAGTTCTATAACTGTCCTTCAGCAACTCTTTTCTAGGCTCCTTTGCAGCTACAACAATGCATATATTTTAAATTGAGTCACAGTACTACCAAAACCTATCATTAGTTGTCCCATCTCTATACTTTTGCTGACATCATTTTCTGCCAAAATTAATGCTCTGGGACATATTTTTCCTTCTTTTTTCTTTTCTTTTTTTTTTTTTTTTTTTTTTAACATGGAGTCTCGCTCTCTTACCCAGGGTGGATTGCAGTGATGCGATCTCGGTTCACAGCAACCTCCATCTCTCAGGTTCAAGCAATTCTCTGCCTCAGCGTCCCAAGTAGCTGGGATTACAAGCACGCCCCACCACGCACAGCTAATTTTTGTATTTTTAGTAGAGACGGGGTTTCACCATCTTGGCCAGGCTGGTCTTGAACTCCTGACCTCATGATCCAAAAGTGCTGGGATTACAGGTGTGAGCCACTGTGCCTGGCCAGGACATCTCTTTACAAAAATTACTTTTCCTATCAGGAGATTGCAAGCTGCTTTAAGGATAAGAAAGTGTTTTGATAATTTTGATAAACTGCTTTGCCTAACATAAACACGGGGGTATTTATTTAATTAATTTTTTATTAATTTAGAGCATAATTTAATTTAATTAATTTAATACATTCTGCTCTAAATAATATAATGCTTTAAAGAGGCCAACATTGAAAAATACTTCATAAAGAACAATTACCTTTAGTGAGGTATAACACAGAGTGAGCTCTCAGTTAAGTTGTTATAGGTTCATTTCTGGTCCTTGACCTAATAACATCAATAAGACTAATTATTTGTCCAAGCTGTAGTTCCCTAATTGGAATCAAGATATAAAACTTGTATATTCTTAAAGAAATTATGATAAAAGTTTTTTTACTTTTAATTGACAAATAATAGTTGTGAATATTTATAAGATACACATTGATGTTTTGATAACATCATTGATGTTACATATACTGTAGAGTGATCAGATCAGCGTAATTAGCATATCTATCATCTCAAATATTTATCATTTCTTTGTGTTGGTAAAGATCAGTATTCTCCTTCTAGCTATTATAAACTATACATTCCTGTTAACTGTAGTCATCAGTGGTGTATAACAATGCTAGAACTGATTCCTCCTGTCTAGCTGTAAAATTTAAAATCCATTGACTCAATGAATTTTACAACGCCTTCATTGCTTGTTACAAAGCATGTAACATTGCTTATTACAAAAACAAGGGCAGTAGACCAACGCTTCTTTTAGCTCTGCTGAAACATGAACAAATACTTTTCATTTTTTACATCATTTATAATTGTCCATAACTTCTACAAAGTTAATACTTAACACAAAAAGAAGGATATATATTATTTTACAATCTCTTATATAGTACATATATAGTATATATAATACATCTTTCATTATAAAATGTAAGATGTATTATTCATTTTATAATGAAAGATGTATTATACATTATATTTGGACTTCACCACTGAACCAAAGCACAAGTAGCTCTGATAAGTAAAATTTCCCATCTGTAATTGAAATAAATCTTAAACCTAATTGTTGTATTGATTATATAATGCTTTTTCAATTCAACAAATTCACAACTAGCTAAAATGTCATATTTCTGTATCAGATAATAAAGTCATAAGAGGAGTAAATAATTGAAAACTGAAAAGACTTGTTTTCAAATTAATATTAAACGATTGAAAATTTTGAAAACTGAATTAAGAATAGAGTCCATTAATTCAATTTCATAAATTCATGTAGAAACATCAGCAATAAAAAAGAAACAAATATGTTGTAGACCAAAATGAAGATCTTAAAGAGGAATTGATTTCAACAAACCACAAAGCACTTCTCAGCTTTTCAGATCATTGGCTATATTTAAGAATGGGAGCAGACTATTACCTCTTTTATTCCTCTTCTGCTTCTATCATCTTTATCTTGAGATGCCATTCTTCAGACCAATCCCTTCTCCACAAGAGTACTGTGTCATTAATAGGAAATACTGTTGAACTGCGTAAAGGTTCCACATTCTTATTTTTTCTATCACTAGACAAACTCAGAAAAGCCATGCTGCTCTTCATTGTATTCACTTTGCCTCAATAGAAAACACTAAAAGTAAAAATGAAATGGAAGACCAAGACTTCCCCTTGAGATGAGAGGAAAAGAGAGAGTGTGCAAGTGTCAAACACAAAGAATGCTAGCTGGAGTCACGTACATTTCAGAGTCACACAATTAAAATTACCTTCTTACCTCTGTGATTTTACAGAATGGTGGACAGTTGCTTAACAAGGGAAAGAATGAATGTGTGTGTGTACTTGCTCCTGAGCATTGGATCCAAAAACAAAGAAACCATTTGTTGCCTTAGCTTGTATGGCCCTTGTGTTGAGAAATAGATGGCCTGAAAGAATCAGGAGTACCCTATCTAACATTTAAAAGGAATGTTACTTAGTATTTATAAACTTCTAAGAAAAAATGTCAGAGGTTTTTACACTTTAAAATGTGTAGGAGCTCAGAGTATTAAGAAAAAACTCAAACTTTCTATATTTGTTTTTAATTTGTTCAGTAATTTTAGGCAATAGATTATTGTTTCATGCAGAGAAGAGATTTACTGACGGTTCAGTTTCATGAAATTTATGACACTCTGATAAAAACAATTACCTAGCAAATATTTGCTCAGCAGCAGATGAATGGCATGGGAATACAGACATGTTGGACTATTTTGCCAAGGTACCTCCAAGAAGAGGGAAAAATGATGCAGGAAGTGGAAAAACATGATAATCTATGATACAAATACATGCAAACTTTGAGATAAAGATAGGAAAAATATAAAATATAATTGAATGATTAGAACCAAAAGCATTTTGTCACTGTATTTGTGTGTGTGTGTTTTAAAGACAAATACCATGAAAACTCTCAAAAACTGAATGTGTAGCTTAAGTAAGTCACAGAGAAAGCTCTTTTAGCTTGTTTCACCATAAAATTTAGTATATGTAGTAAATACATTTTATAAGATATGAGATAAATATTGCATCAGCCTGATTACCATAATATGGATACTTGAGAATATTTGTTGCACATTATACTAAACTTTACAGTTACCAGTTAATTTCATTTCTTTTCACATAGCTTCACTTTGAAAAACATGAGATATAAATTCAAAGAAAAGATGAGAAATCAAAGAAATGTTGAGTTTATGCAAAAGTAAAAGTGAAAAAATGAGAACAATTCTATTCAACTTAGGTTTATTTGATGTTTACTATGTGCAAGGCAAGCTGACATCTGATGACATCAACCCATTTTTAAATATTAGTAGTGTTTCAACCTTACTCTGAATGATTTATTCAAGGAACAAAATCTTGCAATATCAATTTTTAAATGTTTTGTTGATGAATATATAGAGTTGCATATTTGTGTATGCTTTCAGCTACCTTTTACGGTGAAAGAAGAGAAAGAGTTGTCATAAATCTGAAGTATTTAGCATTAACATTTCTTTAGTCACAATTTTAGGGCTCATTATTAAACTTTTGAAAACTGCAAAGTGTAATTAATGCCATTCCAATCATCAGCATCATCATCAACTTAGGAGGAACTAAACCAAATGTATTAAGAGAAAGAAGTGTAAAGTTTGTTTTAATTTTGAACTAATCTCCTCAAACCTTATTTCTCATTTGTTCAATGAGAACACAAAACTGAGCCTGGCCTGGCCTTTAATTTTCAGTACATTAACTTATGTTTCATGGAGTAGGTATTTACCACCAGGAGCCAACTCCAATAACTTTTCTCTTTATTTTAAAATTTGCCTGTAACATTTATTTGTGCAAACACTTTCTTTCCACATCTGCTTTTGTTCAATCATTTATTCTCTCCTCAAGGCCTCTATCCTTCTGATTTTTGCCATATCTTTAATATCTTCAGTCTCTCCATTTCTATCACCTTCTTTCTTTTAGCCTAACACATATGCAAAGTGGTACAGTCTTAAAAATAAAAGTAAGCCTGTTTCTCCTCTTGCCTCTACTTAAGTAACCACTCTCACACTTCACTCATTTGTATGCATGCCTTACTTTCCTCCTCTGTGTTCACTGAAAACAATTTAACTCATCTTTTTATCCTCATCACCTAGTAGTTACTTGCAAGTAGACACCACATGCTTATTGAAGGAATACATGACTGTATGAATCCTATCATGTTCTTTTATCTCAAATTGATTGCCCTCATTAAGTATAGTTTTTGAGATCTATGAATGTCACTTAAATTTACTACAATAATAAGTAGCATAATAGCAATAAAGAGCATGCCCCAATCTTTTAGTTCAACACAGAAAGGTGTCAGTGATAGTTTATGAAGGATGTGCAAATGGATATCTATTATATGAATAAGAGCTCATAATTTAGTTGTAATGGCTCTGAGTCAATGATAATTATTTAAATATTTTTGTTGACTGATAAGCCCTAATCTGGCCATGGCACTAGCCTAATTTGGCAAATGATTTCATAGAAACAATACAAAAGTATATATGCCAATGTGTTTCCAATCTCTATGACTTTGCACCTGTTGCTCCATTGGCCTGAAACATTACTTCCTCTCTCTTCTCCTGAATAATTTCTACTTATATTTCATGTCGAGAATATCATTTCTCTAGAAATGTTGCCATCAAATTTGTGTCTCTCATTATTTTCTCTTTCAGCAAAATCATTGCATACATAGCATAGCATGTATCATTATATATAATTATTTGAACACATACTGAGTATGTCCCTTCCACAGCATACCTCCCTTCTTTATTTTTTTAGGAGAACATTTTATTTATTTTTAAAAGTTTTTCTTTATTATACTTTAAATTCTGGTGTACATGTGCAGAAATACCTAACGTAGATGACGGGTTGATGGGTGCAGCAAACCATCATGGCACATGTATACCTATGCAACAAACCTGCACGTTCTGCACATGTACCTCCCTTCTTCTTCTTCTTTTTTTTTTTTTTTTTTTTTTTTTTTGAGACAGAGTCTCTCTCTGTCACCCCAGGCTGGAGTGCAGTGGCGCAATCTCGGCTCACTGCAAGCTCCGCCTCCTGGGTTCACACCATTCTCCTGCCTCAGCCTCCCGAGTAGCTGGGACTACAGGCGCCCGCCACCACACCCGGCTAATTTTTTGTATTTTCAGTAGAGACGGGGTTTCACTGTGTTAGCCAGGATGGTCTCGACCTTCTGACCTTGTGATCTGCCTGTCTCGGCCTCTCAAATTGTTGGGATTACAGGCGTGAGCCACCGCGCCCGGCCACCTCCCTTCTTTAAACTCTAAGAATTCAACTCTTATTTCATGTATTTAGCAAGCAGTACAATGCCTGGAATTCAGTGGGCACTCGATAAATACTTATTGAATGAATGAATGAATGTGGATGAGCATAGACGCAGTCTGGGACAGGTGTTTAACGTACAGCTCCAGTAACTGAAGAATTCACGTTTTCATTGATCTCTGTAGCATGCTACTTTAACTCCTAGGGACTGCAATCCTTCTCATACATTTACATTTTAATTTAAATTTCTCAAGATCTATAGCTCTCTTTGTTGTCAGGCTCAAATTATCTTGACCATTCACCTTCCATTCTTTTATAGAGATATCCCCTGGACCTTGGATTAATTCTGCTAAAGCCGTTCCTATCCTTATAAGAAAATAAAGAGTAAATATTAGGAAAGGAGTTGCAGGAAGAAAATATGTTTTTTAAACAACATTCGCAAAGCTCATTTTTTAGAATTTTGTTAAGAATTAGAGGTTTAAAACAAAAGTGCCATAAAAATTAACTTCTAAATTTCATTAGTTTATCATATTAGAATAATTAGAACTCGTCATCTAGCATTAGGTATATCTCCCAATGCTATCCCTCCCCCCTCCCCCCACCCCACCACAGTCCCCAGAGTGTGATATTCCCCTTCCTGTGTCCATGTGAGTTAGTGGGTGCAGCGCACCAGCATGGCACATGTATACATATGTAACTAACCTGCACAATGTGCACATGTACCCTAAAACTTAAAGTATAATAAAAAAAAAGAATAATTAGAACTTGCACAATCAAAGATCTGGTGGGATATACTTAACCGAATAACAGTAGAATATATAATGCCTTATAATTGAGGAATGGCTATTTGCCATTAATGAAAATAGACTACAGGGAGCTTCCTATTCGAAAAAGTGGCTTATGTGTTAGCATTTACTTCTGTAGTGCCATTAACTTAAAAAATGCTAAACTTCCTTTATAGATATTGAGTGAATCATCATAATTTGCTAATATTAAGTATTATTCACATTCAAATTTTTCTACTCATACCACTCTGACACATAACAAAATTAAGACAGTCTCAGTTTAAAGACATAGAGGATATAATTTAGGATATTAGACGGCATTAACTAAATATCTCAGAATCTAGAAATTCTGCCAGCATTGATTCAGAATGCCACCTGTAGTAGCCTGGCCTCTGTAATATACTATTTCATGTGACCATTTCAGCTCCGTGGATGTTCGATGTTAAATGAGACAGTGTGAGAGAATTATGTTAATATGCCTAAATGTAGTCCACTGGTTATTCAGTCAACAAAATGAACTAAATCCCCATTATGTTCTATGGTCTCTCTTAAAGTGTTAATTTAACAATATGCACTGCAGAGGGGAAAAAATAGGCTTTCTTAGACCTAGTAGGTAAAGAACATGAAGTAACAATCAAATTCTATTATGAGATATTGCACATAAAAGATTATTACATGCATGAAAACCAGGCCTTCCTCTAACATTTGTGGGGTCTGGGACAAGAATATATATAGTAGCCTGCAAATCATATCTAAGTATTAAAAAATTATAAACTAAGCTAACAAAATTCTATTCTCCAACTTTGGTAACTATCCCTTTATAAGTCCCAAAAAGCCAGTTGTGAATTTGGAATTTTCTAACTCCTTTTATTTTGGTACGAAAATGTGAAATCTGGAAGAAGCTGGCTCCAGGTCCCTGTCTCTAATCTGCAGCCCGCCCATCTTATTTACAACACCAAAAAGGGCTTTGTGCACAAAAATGAGCAGTCTAGTCCTCATTTCCAAGCTCCATTCACCTCTTCCACATCTTCTTTACCACTCCAACCTACAAGTATACACAGCAGTCCAGCCACAGAGATGGACCAAGTAAAGAGGCCTACCTATGCAGGCCCTGTTGACAGGCCTTGGATCATTTTGCCACAGAATTCTGAGATCCAAGTGTTCTACATATGTTCTAGAGCAGACTTGGCATGGATAATTCTCGTTGGCTGTCAAAATCCTTTTCCCGAGGGGTGGGGCGTGGCTAGAGAAAAGCCAAAGCAGGGTCCTCTGTAAAGTGTCGGGTCCTCTATAAAGTGTCAGGTCCTGATAGGATGATAATAATGCAAATATAAGGAAACTCTTATGGGGAAATTTTACACGGTCTCTCTACTATCAATGTTATTAGGAGAGACAGCACAACATAGTGAACAAACAAGTTGCCTGAGTACAAAACCCAACTTTACCACTTACTCTCCTGGTGTAGTTATTCCACCTTTCTGTACCTCAGTCTCCTCATGTATAAAATGATAATACTACTTATTGCATGATGTTATTGTGAAGATTAGGTGCTATGCAAAGCCCATGAAATACCTGGCATATAGAAAACACTAAATAAGTATTAGTAATGATTATTTTGAAGTGCTAAAGAATGATTGATACAGTCAGGATGCATCCCATGTAGGGTGTGAACAAGTTAGTATGCCACATCTAAGAAGGAAGATAAAATCATTTTAATCCCAGAGTGATACTTCCTTTATATTATGTGATTTTAAATCTTTTGATTTCAATTACAAGTAAAGCATTTATTAAACATTAGGTGAAATAATTATACATATATCAAACAGCACACAAATAATACTTATTGACTGCATGCCTGATAGCATGCTAAAAACATTTTATGCAACATCACATTTAATTCTCAAAGCTAACTTAAAATTATGCACTCTTTTCTAATCTGTGTGCAAATGAGCATCTACGAAAGCATGTTTTTCATCTGGTCCCATAAAATACATTACCTGAGCAAATTAATATAGTTGTATCTGTATGTACAAACTTTATTGGCAAATGAGAACTGCAATAAATTACAAAAGATTTTACTTTAGCTTTCTACATGAGAAGTTCTAAAAGCCATTTCAGAACTGAGGACAATTTTTTGAAGTATGCTATGCATTTTCATCATATATCTCAGGATTATTGCCAGATAGAAGTATCATTACTCCTAATCTTAATAGATTGCAAAACTTTAAGCATCGGGGTGTTCAATAACAGGATTGACTAATGTAAAGGAAGTAATACTTAGTAAACAAGCTGATTACATTTAACATAATTTAAAGAAATCTCACTGGGCAAATAACCCATTGAAAACCAGTGGTAACATGGATGTAAAACTACTCTGCCGTAGGTGAGTAGGTCTCACCTAATAAACACTTCAAAACCAAGGTAGAGTCTTGAGTAGCAGGTGAGAATAAATCAAGCTGCTGTCAGTCAAGTTATTATTCCAGGATAGCCTACAGCCAGTAGTGGACATAAATGGAATATGTACCCAGGTAAATAACTCTGTGTATAGAGACCTGTAACTTGCAAAAGTCTAAGGAGTGAGACCTGGTGCGGTGGCTCACGCCTGTAATTCCAGCACTTTGAGAGGCCAAGGTGGGTGGATTGCTTGGGCCCAGGGGTGCGAGACCAGACTGGGCGACATGGCAAAACCCCATCTCTACTAAAAATACAAAAAAAAATCTGGGTGTGGTGGTGCACACCTGTAATCCCAGCTACTTGGGAGGCTGATGCCTGAGAATCGCTTGAACCCAGGAGGTGGAGGTTGCGGTGAGCCAAGATTGAGCCACTGCACTCCAGCCTGGGTGACACAGCGAGACCCAGTCTCAAAAAAGAAAAGTCTAAGAAATACACATTTAGGGACTGTAAGTGTTCACTGTGGGATGCTAGAAAAATACTATAAATATAGGATATTAGAAAAATAGTGTACATTATAAATAAAACTTGTCTGCAGTCCTTTTCTTGAAAAATATATAGTATTTATAGATTTTGTTACCTGTTTCATAAAACTCCTTTATGATACATTGTTTATAAATTATTTACCAGTTTACTCACTGGGTGGTACAAGAGAGTCATTTTCTCAGCACTCTAGCTAGGAATTTAAGCCGAGAAAGGTATAATATCTTCATGAGGTTTTTGTTTATTTATTTTAGTTTTTTCATCAATTCAAGAAAATATCTTACACAGGCAGGATATGTACTAGAAAAGTAGTAATACTACATAATACAAATAAGGAAACTCAAATGTCTTACTAATAATGCAATATTGCAAATAAGAATACTCAAACATCTTACTAATAATGCAATAAATATAACTTGCCCATTGCTATATTATAAATTGTCAGGCTTAACTGGAGTTTAGCATTTTAAGATAAAGTCTCATGTATAATTGACGAAGTCCCTTATTTTATCTCAGAAATGATTTCATAAAATTGAAGTGAATTAGGAAAAAGAAACATTTTTAAAAGTTACTTCGTGTTAAAGTTTATTCATTATATTTATAATATACATTTTTTATTAAAACAGTATAATTCTGCTGTGTCCATCTATCTTTTTAACATGTTGGTAAGAGAGAGAGAAAGTATGAATTTTGTCATTTTAAACATGGCAATGATTATCCATTTTTAAGTGATTAACCAAAACAAGAAGAATATGAGTAAATATCAAAATGTTTTTCAGTATATTTGAAACCAAAAAGTAACAAAATCAATAACAGCCAATATTTACATATTAAGAACTTACTATCTTCATAGCCTTTTATATTCTAGTCTTCTACTCTAACTTCTTTCTGCACATGTGAAATAGATGTGTTATAAAATTATCAGTATTGAGAAATGGTAATATGCAACACTGATCTTATTGAATTTTGGCAAAAAAAAAAAAAAACCAAAAAAGTGTATGTGTATGGCGTGTGTCTTTCAAAATAAGGGCATTTAAATTGAAATTATAAAATATAAATTGTAACTAACATTGTATGTAAAATAAATAGATAATTTAACAGTCTTCTAAGAGCTCCAAAAGTAAGTATATAACATTTTGTTACAATAATCATGTGGACATCAGTTTCCAGCAATTAATCTGGTAAAAGTTCATCGATAAATTCAGCCATCTGAGCACTGAAAATAACTCGTTATTAATGGAATCAACTGGTCTACTTTTCAGTATATGAGATTTTACTCTATTAATCAGAACAGATCTTCAAAATGCCTAAATTAACACCTCCACAAATGATAGCACGGACTGACATTTTCACAGCTCATATACAAATTAAACAAGTATCCTGTGACTCCTGTGTCAAATATGGCAGCATTTACATATATTTTTATACAATTATTTTAACTTTCAATAGTTGTGCAAATTGACTTGTACTCTTGAAGGAGTACAGTTTATGGGACTTTTACATGATTTGTGCAGTTATGTTAAATGTATCTAACATATTTTCAAAATGTGTATGGAAAGTTAATTCTTTTTTCATTTCTTTTCATGAAAAAAAGCAGTATATTTTATTTTTTTCCAAAATATAATTGGAAATAAAATGAGCTGATTCACAGACGTATATACTCTAAAGCTTAAAAAAAAATCATGGCATCCTATTTAAAGCATTTTGGAATAACTTTTTCTTTTTGTTTAGATGAGTTCACAGTCAATGCACAAAGTCTTTAAATGATAGTAAATCAGACTGTGACATCAGCTTATAGGTAAAGTCCAAGGTGACCCAAAATACTAACTCAATGGAGTAACTTTAAGATCTGCACTAAATAGGTTTAGGAACTAATGTGCAACCTAAGACAGAACAAGGGTATCTCAGTACAATGGTGATGTCACATTAAAATGCTATGGCATCAATCACTGCAAACAAAACAAAAAGCACATTAATCAACCTTAAGGGAAAAAATCAATATCCAAATGATTCATTTTCCCCCAGTATTTCTCTATTTTCAGAAATTACTTCATATAAATTTTCACATAGCAAAAATATTACCCAGTATCTTCATTTAAATGTTTTCACATTAATTAGTTATAAAATAAATTATTGGCTAGGGAATTGATACATATTGATTATTCATACTTTTCACCTGAAGTGTATTTTTCTGGTGCCTTTCTAAGTCATAGTGCATCATGTGAAACTTTTAGTTTTTCAACTATTACCAAACTACATTATGCTACAGTTTCAGTTTGGCAAAGCCAGTTTCTGACTAATGAGGGGTACACCACGAAATTCTGTATTGTTTAGACAAGAAATTCAAGAGGACCTTAATCCAGTGAAATGAATACTGCCATTTTGGCATTTCTTACATCTTAAGCCCACATCTTAGGTAAAAATGGTTTCTATTCTGCTGAAATGCACCAGAAATGGCTTCGCCTTCAATTTTCCTTAGTGTGTTTTCATGGACAAAGTTGGATTAACAATCCATGACTACAGCCTTGAAAATACTGTTAATTTCATATAAACTTATAGTTAATTTAAATTTTGGTTGCTGCTTCTGCTGCTGTGTCGTTCAATCCCTCTACCCTTCCTGGGAGAGAATTGGGAAACATGGTATAGTATATGCCATGCCTGTTCTAAGTAGTAAAACATATGGGTTAAGAATATTAATACTGGAGCCAAATCACCTGGGTTCAAAATTCAGTGCTTCCATTTGTACAATTTATATTCTTTGCACCTGACTTTCCTTATCTATAATGACCTGCATTACTTAATAAATTGAAGTTGACTTGTGAAATTAATTTAACTTGAGCAATTGACGTAATTGTAGCAATTGACTTAACTTCATTTGCATATTTACCTGAGTTAGGTAGATAAAACAGAAAAGTAAATATACAAATTTCAGATTTTCATAGAAATTCTGCTACTTTTTGAAACAGGACTGAAACTAATATATTCTTCTTTATTAACTACAGTCCATGGTTACCCTAATTCCTTCATGTGCTAGTTACTCCAGACATATAACAAAAATCTATTCATCATTGCAGGATGGGAAGCTACATGAAATAAATAAACGTTTAAAAAATTCTCCAGATAAAGAACAGAAAGTGAGAGAACAGAAGCAAAGTAATAATAATTTTTTTCAAATCCCAGTCATCTCTAGGTATCCATGGAAGATTGCTTCCAGGACCCTCCCCAGCAATGGAAACCAAACTCAGGAGAAGTTCAAGTACTCCAGTCAGCCTTTCACATCCATGGTTTCTGCATCCACAGTTGGGTGAATCCACAGATGTGTAACCCGTAGCTACCACTGGCTGACTGCACTTGACTTATATATATTTGGGCTCCTGTATATCCCTATTGTCAATTGTCTATACAGCACTGGTAAAAAAAGGACTGAAAATCAAATATTTTATATTTTTATTTTGTTACAGCCTTACATGACTCTGATCATCTCTATTTTCCATGTTTTCCAATTTAAAAAGGAAAGAATAAAGTCTTGCTTGTTCTATTTCTAATTTTATTTCCAAAGAGTGGGTGATGTTGTGAATCTAGTTGATGGTGAGAGTATTATGCAATGAATTAGTTTCTATGATAACTACTTTTTGTTTTATAGCAAACAGCCATTAATTTAAAACTTGTAAATTGGAAATCCGGAACCCATTGCAGTACAGCTAGTAGAAACACATTCTTTCAGACTGTGATTACTTCCATAAATTCTTGAGTATCGAGAATTACTGCCAAACAAAACATCTTCCTGATGAAATGTATTGACTGACACTTCAGTAGAAAGAAAAGTAGAAAATGAGACTATGAGAAGAATGTCTATTTTACATAATATAATTTGAAAGGCAAACTAAAGTGATTTGTGGATTTGTTTATGTTTTAGGGTAAAGAAAAAAGAAGTGCAAAAGAAATTTATAACTGGTTTATCATTTGAAATATATGAACTTTTAAAATTTGGTAGAGAATGTCATATTCTTTATTTACATTAACTATTAATATTAGTATTTGTCAGAAAAAAATTCTCCAATATCAAAGTAAATATTTCAAATAGAAAAAAACCTGGAGAACAAAAAGCCATACTTTAAGGAAATAAAGATTTCTTTTTAAATTGAAAGACTAAATCCAAAAGTAATATACAAGTGTACACATTCAGGTTAAGGTATTTACCATGTTTGTTGAAAAAATAAACTCTTTAATGGTAACCGAATATATTTCTAAGAGTTACTCACATAGTTACTATTGTTTATGCATTACATATATTTAGCAACTTACAATTTTTAGGGGCTTCTTAGAGTTTCAGAATTTTCATTTTTTTCCTCAACAAATAAACACATAATTGAAAAATTGAATATATGTTTTCATATACAATAATACTTTTCCGATTTAAGATGTTAATCACAGCATGTTTTTAACTACAGCTTGCTCTTTTAAATTCAGCTCAGTCTATAACAATTATTATGTATGTTACTATTATGTATGCATATGTATACATTAATGTCCTACATATGTATTTGCGTATTAATGTGTATATTAATATCATCATAAGCATACATGTATATTACATAATACTTGCATTATTTGAGTTGTATCAGCCTCAAGTTCAGAATAGCATCAATTAACATGGCCAAATTACTTATAGGAAGAGGAAGTAAAAGAATCCCTATAATTTAGCAAATTAATAATTTGCTGACTTCAACCACATTACTAGAAGCTGTTTCAGGAGATGTGTACTTTTCTCCCTCATCATATTATCCTTTCTAATTATAAGGTGGATCTTCTTTTTATAATGTATTTCAAGAAAGGCATTTCTAATTTTACAACTTAGTTTAATTCAATGTAATGGCATCAGTTTAGTTGGTCCCAAAGGAAAAGAAGCAAATAACTGAATCGTTAATGCCATCCAAAATTTTCTCCCCTTTGAGACCTGCTTAATTTTCATTATCTATAACGACTGCAGCCAATGGTGCTTATGTCTGAAAGTACAGCATTTATTTGGGATACTCAGCATATCATTCATAAATTTTTCTGCGGTGATTTCATTTTACATGACAAAAATCACCAAGGGGACTTCCATTACTAGAAACAAGCTTGGTTTATTTTTGTAAATTTATTTTACTTCAACAGTCAACAGCAGGTATTGATTACCCACTGCGTTGAGAGCATTGTACTGTGTATTGTAAGGAAACCATTACATAAGAAGTAAAATATTTGCTGAGAGAATCACTGACTTATCATCTAATGAAGGAGAGAAGGAAAACTTTACACAAATGATTAGGTATCAGTCAATCCATCCGTTTGCTCTTGATTCATTAATTCATCGAAGTGTACTAAGAAGTAGTCTCTTTTTTCAGGGATTGTAGTTTATATAAAGACATAAGGAAGTGTTTATTCTTTCAGAACTCGTAGTGGACAGGCAAGCCATGATAGAAGTAGTCCCACAATAATAGGGAAACAATATATTATCACTAGGAGTGTTAGAGAAGCATAATGGGAATAGTTAGCTCTGACTATTCTTAAAGGATGAATTACATTTTAATGTTGAAGATTAAAGAAAGTGTAGTTCAGTAGAGAAAATACAATAAACAAAGGCACAGAATTTGGCAAGAGTAGTTATGCTAAGGCAGTTGTGAAGTTGTAAATAGTGGTTTAGCATGGCAGAACAAAGTGTATGATATTGACTGGGAGATGTATGGTTATATGTAAGGATATTGTATGCATGTTACATATTAATGGTATAAATGTGTGTGTATATGTAACATATGTTTACATATATATACACACAGAGAGATAACATACATGGTATAAATGCATGAACTTTGCTGAGCAAAATGGTAAAAAATCTTGAAAAGTACAGCTATGCTCCATGTAACATTTCAGCCAATGACAGACCACATATATATGGTCATCCCATAAGATTATAACGTGCTATTTTTATTGTGCTTTTTCTATGTCTAGGTATATTTTATTATAATACAAATACTTAATGTGTTATAACTGTCTACAGTATTCGGTACAGTAACATGCTGTTCAGTTTTGTGGCCCAGGAGCAATAGGCTATATAGCGCAGGTACATAATAGTGTATAAGATTTAGGTTTGTGCATACAACACTGAAATTGCTTAATGCATTTCTAAGAACATATCCCTATCATTTCGTGAAACATGACTGTATTTTTAGGAGTTTTAATTTCATTAAAGTGCTAATAAATTGGGAACATTTTTGAAAGAGTAGTTAATGTGGCCAAACTCTCACCTCTGAAAGACATCTAGTGGTTACATGTTGGATGGGTTGACTTGGATGAAGAGTGGAAAGTATTGATACATGTAATAGACATGATGATAATTTAGGGGGAATGTTCCTGAGTCATGTTGATTCTATGTGTTCTGTGAGCCTAGTCTCAGACTTTTTCAATCTGTCTGTAATGCTATAATAAAAGAAACTTTTCTAATTCTTATATCTAATGATATCTTACATACCACAATTGCAGCAACTACAAATTAAACTTTATTAAAATTTGACTCTAGTACACAGTGAAATCTCAGCTCCAGAGCTTGACATACAGGGCCCGTCATCCTACTTTTAGACTAATATTCCTCTATGACCCCACCTCTACTCCCTCTTATGTGCCAATACATTTAGTCAATGTACAATAATCTTTCTATTTGTGTGACAAAAAGTTTAGGACCAATTTGCTATGCTTTGAAGCCTCTATTTGTGGCATATGGTCATTCTAAAAAAGTAATGACAGAGCTGAGATTATTTCTGTTTAGAATCTACTCCTATATGTCAAAAGTTTTTGAAGAGCCTACTCCTAAATTCTCCAGTGAACTAATTTTTTGCTGATAGCCTGAAATCAAGTTCAATCGACTTTCATAGGAAAGAAAAAAATAACAACTAAACAGTCATGCCAAATGTACATTCTTTTTCTAAATTCTTCTGGGGTCTTATGCAACTTTGGGTCTTTTAAGTCATCTTCTGGATCTTCTTATTCTGTCTTTTCAATATATATGTTTTTTTCTTTTTTTGCATTCACATCTGAGGTTTCTTGGAACATATGAGCTGATTGATACAGCTGTGGGATCCCTGGTCTATAGATTCTTTGAATTATTCCAAATTGTTTTCTCTACTTCTCTTTGTTGTCTTTGATTTTGTAAAGTTTTTGCCACAAGGATATTTCCCTTTTCTGAAGGGTGTTTAAGATGTAATTGAACTTTGGGAGTTTCTGAATGGTCACAATAGAAGTAAAACAGGTCAGAAAGAGGAGCAAGGGCAGCAGGTAATAGAGGATGATATAATGAGGGCAGAAGCCTAACAAGATAAAACCATTAGGCTTAAGTTGTGATTTGGGAGCACCTAAGTGAGAGTTTTAAGTTTTGAAATTTTTTTATTTGCCTTATCCAAGGAATATTTTAAGAAAGTAATTTTGGATCCTATATTTCTGTTGGAAACTTCCTCATTCCCTCCAAAATAATATATCAATCAAATAAGCAGATATTGGATGTTTGTTCCATCTTATTCTAATGTACTTTTTAGATGAATAATTTTGCTGTATCTGAAGTTCCTCAAGTGGCCGCTGTAATTCTGTTATCCTTGGAAAGCATGCCATTTAGAAAATAAATAAATACAAATATTTGGATATTAATATAAATACATGTAAGATGCAGGAGTTTAGTCTTCAGGATGCAAGAACTAGGACTGGGACAAACCCTTGAGAGTCTGGAATCACAACTTATTGCTTGTGCAACTTGTCTTTAGCCCTCAACCTAATGGCTGGCTGTTCATGACAAACCTGGTAATCTGGTGTTTCCTGAAGGGCTGGGTGGCTGTTTGAAGAGAAGATTTCTCTCAAACCAGACTTTCACAGAGAGAAAAAAAAAGCTCTCAAGGTTTTTGATATGAGATGTAACACAACATTTGTCTTATGAAGAGGCTGATTCAGCGGGCCTTACTTTGAACTCATTGGCCATTCGAAGCTGACTCAAAAACAAACTTATAGGAACCTATGTCTGCCCTCTTCTCTATATGGACTTACACTTGTAGGAAACGAAGAACATAGGCAGAGTTAAATAGTACTATTGTTGGCAATAAAGCAGTATTCCACAAAGATGAAGGCTTTCCAAAGTGTTCCTTAAAACTTTTCCAAAGCGTTCCTTAATCCTTAGCTTGGATTAGTACAAGCTAATCCAAGTATTCCTTAAAAACTTATCTTCTTTCCTAGAAGCATTGGGAAATTTGACAAAAAAAGTATAAGCTCAAATCCAATGGAAGACTTACCTCATCACCATGGTCAGAGATCCCCAAGTAGAAGGCTCAAGGGGTAGGGTATTCATAGGTGTATTGAAAGGCACCTTAAATCATTGATAAGTCGACTTGAATAATATGTTTTTCTAAAAAAGATAATACAATTCATATTAGGATTTAAGTGCTCAGTTTATTGTTCAGATGAGTGTTAGGAAGTTCGTTAAACAAAAATTATTTGCAAATTCATCTTCCTAAGCTAAAAATTTTCTGGAATGTGAGTCATGCTAATTCTAATGTAGACCAGTAATTCTAGAACTTTAAATCGTAATTACCTAGAAGGCTTATTAAAACACATATTTCTATGCCCTATTCCCAGAATTCAAAATATCTGGGCTAGGTCCCTAGAATTTCCATTTACGTGATGCTAATGTTACTGATCTGTGAAGACACTTTGAGGGCTACTGATAAAACATAGTTTTAGTCAGTTTTAGTCAGTAATCCCATTATGCTCTATAGCCAGTGAAAGCTTCACAGAGAACAAATATAACTATGAGTGGCAATGAAATTGTTTTAATACAGCTCACATTTGTCAGTTTGTAATATCTGAGATGTTTATTACTTAAGAGGATATTGGAATCTTACTATTATGCCTGACTAATTTAAGATATCCAAATTTTATGTTATTCCTCTAAACAAGAAAGAGATTTCTCTAATGTCAATGACCAACTCAATATAATTAACTGAGTACAATTTACTCTTATTTCCTAGAATTTTTTTACACTATGAAAATAGTCAGGTCAGTCAATAAGTCTTAATATAAACTGATTGAGGAGACGTGCCCATTGGCTTTGGCTGACAATGCTACACTCAGTGCAGGTTTTATCAGTATGTGCTGACCCCTGACAATCCCATTTTCTCCTTTTCTCTTTCAATATCTAATTTTCTCATAAGCTGTATGGTGTACATTTTAATGCTTGCCATATCCCAGCTCTTACCAATCATATTCATAATCATTTTATAAAAAAAGTACACTGCCTCTAGATATCTGCTTATTTTTCCCAAATGCATGCTGCCCCTAAGCTTAGTCCATTCTAACTTATTGTCAGAACCAGAATGAGTCTTGCCCTGAAGGGACCCTTTCAAACTCACTGTTGGTTCTGAATGCATTTTTGCCTTCAGGCTCCCTCTATTCCTTCAGACCGATCATCCAGGCTCCAGTGAATGTTGCCTTTGGGTTGTCTCCTTCGGTTTCAATTTCAAGGCTTGCATGCTTTTTACCCTCAGGTTTTCCCTTTTCAGTTTCTGTATGAGATTTTAAGGGCCTCGTGGCTTTAAACACTTTCTCATTGCAGTATTTTCCTGTTTCACGCTCCAGTAACATGGATATGGGCGGCTGTTTCATTGATCTGATGTTCCCTCTTAAAAATTTCAATATTCTCTTTTCTTATTTATTTTTTATATTATACTTTATTTCAAACTATAAACTTATTCACTGGTAAGCCATGTAGTATATATATAAAATGAAGTGTCTCACCAAATACGTATTTTCTACAGGAGGAAATGATTTCCACACCTACGCAATCATAACCAGTGGAAATATTGGTACTAAACAAAAGATGTGTACTTGTTTTAATTTAAGCATAAATGGTTTTATTGGAAGCTAGTTATGTAGCTCACAGAAATAACACAGAACTTAGAACCATGCTCCAAAAAACTAAGGGTGGGTCAAGGAGGCTAAATGGAAACTAGACAGCTGGAAACACAGCCATGTACATATCAATAGAACAGTTTGGTTAGGGCACCACCAGTAAAGATGCTGGATACTGATGCTACCCCCAGAACTGCTGCCAGTAGATGCTGGATGCCACCAGCATCATATTTTAATAATTTTTAGAAATGCCTCTATTTGAATCACCAATATGATGTTCTAGGTCCCTAGGTCCCAGATGGGAACATAAGATTGGCTGAACTAAGTTCATGCCTCTAGGTCTGGGTGCCAGACTTCAAGCTGAAGTTCAACAAGTTCCCAGCTTCATTGACTTGGGGAATACAAGACAGGGTCCTGCTGCAATTCATGGTAAGCATGATAGTAATGCCCAGACACTGAAGTGGTTCATATGTTATGTCCAAGAAAACATTAGAAATGTAGAAAATATTTACAAGATCATTACCTTTTACTTGTAAATGGTATCTTACATGTGCTTGTACTAATTTTCATTTTTGAATGTAACTTTTCTTTTATTTGGACTGATATTTTTTTCCCTTACTGGCTGCCCAACACCACTTTTCTCTTTGTTCTCAACTCACCTGGAATACAAGGTAAATTATGGACACTACCTGTAGGCCAAATTCCAGCTTATCACTAAATTGACAAGCATGAGCAGCCTCAAGAAGCACAATTTAATCTGGTTACAGATAACTTAAATTATGCTGTCTCTTGGGATAGATGGTTGGATTACCTTTGAAATGCCTGAAGAATTCCATGCACCTCTGTATGTTCTCATGTTGCCTTCAGTGAGCCAGATCTGTTTATCCTGAAGATTTTCTAGAAAAGCCATTTATCTCTTCTTCCAATGTCTTGCCTTTCATGTGTTTCTGAACTCTGTCTACTATAAAGTTCGTATCTAACCAGTACAAAGCAGGTTTGTATTGCTCACAAACATATTAAAAGTTTGGCCTTATAATAAATAATGCCCTTGGCTTATTTCAGGATGGGAAGCGTCTGATTCTTTCTGGTCCTTTCTAAGTGTGTTTTTAACAACACTAGGACAATGTTGCCAGATGGAAAAGAAAACTGCTTTATCCTACAAGTATGTCTAGGTGACTGAAACCTATCCAGAGGATGGATCGTTTGTTTCAATTATACATAAATCAATTATGTCTTTTATTGAACATGATTTTAAAGTAAAACTTTTAATTATGATCTTTTTTTTAGATTCAATAAAAATTAGAGTGCCTACTTTGTGCTAGGCACTGTTCTCAGGGCTAAGAATAAAATACTGAAAAAAAGAAGTGGAAAAAAAGTGCCCACTGTAATAGAGCTTATATCCTAGTAGGGCTGTCAGTCATATATGTAATAAGTAAGTGAAACATGAAACATAAGTGTGTGTGTGTGTGTGTGTGTGTGTGTGTGTATGGTCATAAATGCTGAAGTAGGGAAGGATGTTGGTAGTATTGAAATAGGTAGAAAAGACATTGTTGAAATTTTATCTAGAGTTGCCATAGAAGGTTGTATTTAAACAGACAGTGAGGGAAAAATCCATGTGGATATAAGGAAAATAATATTCTAGGTAGAGGAAACAGGGTTAAAAAACTATCTGAGGCAGGGACCTCCCTAGTTTTTTCCTAGAAATATAGAGGAGGCAGGTTTAGTTTAATAAGAGTGAGTATTGTGGTTTGGGGTAATTGAAGGGATGACGACAGAAAGAAAATTCGGAAGTTACTATAAAGACTATGTATTTTATCCTGAGTGAGTTGGGAAGCCCTGAAGAGTTTTGAGCATAGTAGGCTTTCTTCTGACTGAGTAGCTCAACCCTTTGGAAAGAATGTTCAGGAGCTCAGTTTTTATACATCAAGTTTGTGTTAGCTATTAGGCAGCTAAGAGGCTATGTCACATAAGTGGTGGTAAAATAAACAAGTCTGACATTCAGTGAAGAGGTGGAGGCTGGAGATATATAAATATGACAGCCATAAACACACAAATAGTAGAGAAAGCTGTATGCTATTGCTGCATAACTAAATACCTCAAAAATCACTGTTTACATTTATATATATGTGTATATATATATATTTTCTCACAATATTAGAGTTAGGGAGCTATAACTTGCAGAGCTAAGCAGCTTTACCACACATACATAGAAAGTTACATGCCAGGATTTAATTTCAGAGATCTTTGCTTCTGGAGAGCCAGTTCAATCCATTACAAGCCCTGCATTCTCAGCTCCTCCTGGAGCTGTCTGCTCTTCCCACAGTTCCTCACCAGTCTGCTGTGTGTCCTATGCTTGCTTCTCCAATTTGGCCAGGTTCCTTTTTCTGCCCAAAGTCTTCCTTCATTGTCATTAATCAAAGACTGGCACTCTTCTGGTCATCTGAGCAGGAGGCGAGGAAAAATGAAAAATGGGCAAGGTCCCACAGAGCTCAGAAAGATAATGAGTTCAAGACTCTGTAGACAGCACTAAATGATGAGGATTGAATGGAGGTTGGGGAGAAAGGGAAACTGATGGTGGGCAGTTATATATATTATATAATTTATAATTATACATTATATATAGTTATAATTTATATATACACATACATACATATATAATAATGTATATATAACTTGATTAATAAAGGAAAGCATATTATCCCTCCCTCCCTCCCTCCTTCCTTCCTTCTCTCCCCTTGCCTCCCTCCCTCCCCACCTCTCTCCCTCCTTTCATCTTGTCTTTTTCTTTTTTTCAGAGACATGATGCTTATACTGGTCATTGGTTTTAAGTATCTGGGCAAGACATCCATTTTATAATTTGAAAATTTATTGCAATGAGGATTCATGGTATTTATTTACTAAATGGATGGGTAGGCCTTGCCAATTAATTTTTTCTTAGACTTTCTTGTCCTTCATTATCATGGAAACAATATGTAGACTATTCTTTTACAAAAAGCCTGAACCATTGCTTGGCAGAGAGGGAACTTTACTTCATTTTACTTCTGCTGTGCTCTATGACCCTCCTAGTGGAAGATGCTTCATTGGTTTCTATTACCAGCATGCAAACAGATTTTTAAAAGTTTCTCAGAGCTAAATGCACACAGAATATGGCAAATACTTCCCTTTAGTCATTTATGGGTCTGAATGAACAATAGGTTTTCTTCTCTGAAAACATTTGTAGAGCCCTTTCATCCCATTCAGAATTATCCTGTGGAATTCACACACCTTCTCATTGAAAGAGTCCTTGCTGCCAAGTGTTATTAACATTCCTGTAATATCCTATTTACAATCTGTATTTTGAGTTTCCAGTCTCTCTATTAATAGTTCTATTAATATTCCTATACTGTTTCATCTTCTCTCATTAGTAATAATGCCATATATACAGACTCCAGTGTGGTTATTTTCTCTTCTTATTAAGGGATTCTACATATCCCCAAGGTTTCTTTTGTACATATGTGATGGGTAAAGTTTAATTCCAGTAATATTATTGCTAGTTATATAAATGCCACTTGTGATTGTAATAATTGCTCATAAAGTCATCTAACTGTAGAAATCAGTGGTTCATAAAACATGATAGTAATCTCACATATATAATTCAAATGCAATTTCATAGTAAGATACATATTTAGTATATATTGTTCATTTGCTGATTTGAATATATTAAAATATTGATATTTAACATGACAACATAGCCTTCTAGACTGGTTATTTTAAAGTTAATTAAACTCAGGAATGTGAAAGAGAGGAGATCAGTTTACATATTATACCAGTAAATGTGGGTATGTATGGGCCTGTAAATAAGCTGTTGGTTAGGAAATATGGAATTTTATTTTGTTAACTACAACCAAGACAACAATAACAGTAAGTCTAATACTAGGCTATAATATCAGAAAATCTCAATACCGGGCTTTTGAAGAAAAATACAATAAAAAGAATGGAAATATTCAAGCTAAGAAATATACAGAATTTTAAATGTGCATATGCATGCAAAATGTATATTATCTGAGAAAGTTTTTATTTTAAAAATTTAGATTTATACGGGTTGTAGAAAGTCCACAAATTGCAGAACTGAAAAACAATTACACTAAAGCTATCATAGTTGAAAACATGGTCATATTCTCATTAATAATTAACTAGCTTATTATCAGGTTGATCATTTGTACTAAGATGATGTGGAAATAGAAAATTTGATTAGTATCAGACAGGAAGAAAAGAAATGAGCTTAAAATATGGATTTTTTTTTCATTATAGAGAAGCTATGCAAGAAATTTGCTCATAGACCTATAGGGCACAAAAAGAAAAAAGAACTCAGACAATGCATCATTTTGCATTGAATTTGAATATTTTATTGTTGTTAAAAGCATGTAACCAAAATAAACTTAGTCTTCTGTCCCCACATTAAGATCTATTCCCAAATAGTAGTATATTAAAAATAAACAAAAATCTGACTCAAAAGCTCTTCAAAGTGATATGTCTTCAGTGAAGGCTTTTGAAGAGGCAGCAAAAGAAGTATCCTATGAGAGAGTGCAAGTAAGGCATCCTGACTCATGTCTTCCCAATACCTCACACAGTATTCCTACTATTCTAATCTCCCTGCGTCTCTTCCTCCAAACTCCAACCCCTCTGGATTTCCCTCCTTCCACAATGTTGTAACTTCACCACAATTTCTGAGATTTTTTTTTCTTTAAGTAGCATTGTGTAAATACAAATCACTTTAAATTCTTTGGGAATTGTCCAATCCACCACTAGCCCATGATGCTTCTCTGAACAACAGATACCTGTGATCCAACAGGTTGTAAGAAATGACTTTTCCTTTGATGGCCGGAGGGAGAGGGAAACACTTTGCATATCTACATTTTGTCTCTTTCTGAATACCACTGCATATGAAAATTTGTTTCAAGAAAAGAATTCATGAAATATGCCTCTTCATATTTCATGCAAAGACTGAGTGTGTGGGGAGAGGGACAGAGAGGGGACTGGGATGGCAGTATGTGGAAAGCTGTATCAGCAGCAGTGGTAGTGAAAATCTGATTCCGCCCAACTGAGTTTGCAAAGACACCAGAAGTTTCTGGGGTGTGCCCTCAACCACCAGGAAGGCCAGAGAGGTGAACGTGGAATATGGACAGACCTTGGCTTCTACCTATTGCTGCTGTAACCACTCTGATCTACTTCAGGCTCTCAAGAAAAGTTCTTAGCCAAGATAAAAAATAACACACACTCCAGATAAGATCTACAGGCAAAGCAAAATCTTCATAAAAGAAGATGGTATAGACTTCGATGTGAGGACAATTTTCAGTTGGATTTGACTTAGAAGGGGAGACAATCTCTGTGAACTTGCGGTCAGGTGCAGTGGCCCCACGGCTGTTATCCCAGCACTTTGGGAGACTGAGGCTAGAGGACTGCTTGAAGCTAAGAGTTTGAGACCAGTCTGGGCAACATAGTGAGACCCTGTCTCAACAACAACAAAGAAAAATAGGCGGGCATGGTGTCACACATCTGTAGTCCTAGATACCTGGGAGGTGGAGGTGGGAGGATCACTTGAGCCCAGGAGTTCGAGGTTACAGTGAGCTACGGTTGCACTACCTCACTCCAGTGTGGGCAACAGAGTAAGATCCTGTCTCAAAAAAAAAAAAAGTCTCTGTGAATTTATAAATTGCAGATTCAATAATTAAAGCCAGTGCCTCTTGATTAAATTGGGCTCAGTTGGAGAACTTAGGAAGTTGTAGTGGAGTTATTCAAGATGAAGAAAAAAACCCAAGACAATTTTGAAGCAAATTATCTTTTCAAAAATGAGACCATGAACCAGATTCAGACTGTGCTGATGGCTTCAGCAGACCTAACTAAATCTAAAGAATTCAAGACAACAAGCAATGTTGGAGCACAACAGGCAAGATGGTCTAATGAAAGAAATCCAAAAGGGACAATTATAATTGGGTAGCATATGAGAACCAACATGTATACCAGTCTTTTAGATATAGCGGCCTACCTGGGCAAGGGATTGGGAAGCATTTCTATGTATCAGCAAATATTTTGACCATTTAACTAGTAGCATTCTGACAGAGAACTTAAGCAGAGATGTTTGCCACTGGTATGATGTATAGAGGAACACTAACATAACAGCCAGTATACCACTCTCTACATATAGGTCACAAAAACTTCTCTACCAGAAGTATTGTGAGAAACATTTATAACTCTAGAAATTGACTAGGATAATAAGGGTAGAGTGAAGGGGATAGGACAGAGATACCCAGGAGAGGACTCAGGATAACACTATCAGTCTACCCTGCATGCAAGCATTGAAGGGGGTACATTATCTGTAATGGATTTTATAAACAATAATAAAATCACTTAAAGTCTGTCTGCTTTTACATCACCACACACTAGCTATTCTAAACAATGCCATTGATAAAATGCCAGGAAGAATTTTTCTATTTACCCTCCTCCCACTCTTGATACATTACTAGAAGAGGTCAAAACCAGAATCCAAGAAATTGTTAAATTCAGTATTTTAAGGAATCACTTGGCAAGGAAGTTGACAAGAAGTAGTAGTGAAAGATACGGAGATTAAGAACATAGTCATCTTTACTGATGAAATAAAAGAAAGAAAAGAATAAAAGTCTAGGAAAAGAATTACACGTCAACATCACAATGACAACCAAGGGAAGTAGAAGCTAATAGTCTAGTTATCCAAGTAAAGGTATTATTGAATTGCTAACCAAGAGATGAACAGGGATTTTAGCAAGGACAATTTCAGGCAGAGAAGTTGAAGCCAGATTTGCTGTCCTGGGATGAAAACTGAAAATTTATCACAGCCAGTAAAAGGAGCTTTCAAGAACTATTTATTTAATAATGGGAAGATGACGATAAATACATGGCATCATTAGTTCGAGGACATGCTTCTCTTTCAGCTGGCAAGAGATTTAGGCTGTATGTAAAGCCAGGTGGATTCCAGAGGATTTCAGAGAGGAGATTGAGGAGGAGCATCAAAGAACCAGGATGAAATAAGAGCTACAGTTCAAGTAACAAAATTGTATTGCTTACTTTGTGAGTGTTAAGAATCATATAAAAGAAGAAAACTTATTGAGAAATGTGTAAATTGGAAGAATACAAGTTTAAAAGAGAATTTACTGAAAACTCATAAATAAATAAATAAATAAATAAATAAATAAATAAATAAATAAACGCATGAGCATATGTGTGCCTGCATGTGTACAGAAACATTTTAGGAAACCATACACATTAAAGGAGTCATAATTCATTATATGTTCAACTACAAAAGCAAACATGTCTCCTCCTCTTGACACTTTAGCCTCTTTGAGAAAATACTCTTTTAGACTACAGTATACATTTCTTACTTAAAATTAAATAATTAGCCTTCTTTTTGAAATTTTAAGAAGTTGCAAAGGGGTTTTGTTAAGAAAAATAAATTTGCTGCTTAATTTCATATCTCTCTAGACCCCATCCAGTAAAAATGGAGTAAACTGAGAAAGTAACCTCTACTGGCAACATATTACAATTTGTGTACACATGTACATGACTAAATAAGTGTGCAGTTTTTACCTATTCAACTCTCATATCACATAAATTTATGTGTGCCTGAGTGTGTGTGACTTGCTACTGCCTTTCACTGTCTAATTGATTCATTCATCCAGAATACATTGATTAAGTAGTACTGGATAATGTTAATTGCTGGGTCAAATTTACCACAACCTAGATTATCATCAACTCAAAGGAAAACCTCTTTATTTAAAATGAGTCATGAGTCACCCCATTTGTTTAGTTGGTTAGTTTTCATGCCCTTGTTGCTTTGCAGCTCTCCACAACCAAGTTACATCATTTTCACTCTTCTGTCAATATGTTCTTACTACTTTTCTTCTGTCTTGTCTCTTTAGGGGCACTTAACTTCACTTGTTAGCATAGTAGCTGCATGGGCATGATTTGCCAATTCATTCTGTGTACACATTTATAATTCTATTGGCATCAAATCCTAAATATTAGAATCCTTAATGAGCAGCATGTAGGGAAAGAGCAACCTGAACCAGAAAAATGTACAGAAAACTAAAGAAAAGATTTTCATTATGAAGAAGAGCAGAGGTTTTATCAGAGAACAGTCAAAAGGCATCTGTTAGTCCAGAAGTAATTGAATACCAGCAAAAGAAGACTTTTTTATATTTAAAGAAATGTGAGAAATGACTGATGACTGTGAATGCCTCCATCCCTTTATTTACCATCTGAATCATGAGTAAGGTTCTTATAGTCTTTCTAGCATTGAACTAAACTTGAACCCAAATGTTTCAAAATGAAATTTGTATAAAATATCACAATCTCTAATAATACATTTTATTTCCTTTTGATATATCAAGATTATTTTCATGCTATCCACAAAGTATGTTGTGTCAAAATTAGAACAGCAAATTTGCACTTACTTAAAATATTCTTGTAAAAACCAGTACTTTGGAAGGGGATAGTATTATTTTTATTAAAAATTACCTTACAATTTTGGGAAGTCTCATATTTCTAAAGTTTTATTCAAATTAAATCATGTATAAATGTTAATTTAGTAATATTAAAATGTATATTTCATATAAAATAAAAAGTATTCTTTTTTAACTTTTAATAAAATTATCTAATCTAACACTTAAAACTTAATGGTAATTTCCTATTTTAAAAAAGTTTGCTTTTTAATTTGCTCTTTATAATGAAAACATTAGCACTGATTTTCATAAAATAAAAAGCAAGATGATACCAATGTAAAAGCATTTCAGTTTTTTAATTAAATGCCTGTTAGAGTCTGTGTTTCCCATTATAGATGAAAATATAATTGCAAAGTAGGATACACATAACACAGTAAGAAACACACAAGTTAATGGGAAATATTCAGATTCACCATGACCATGTGCAAATCTGACCATATTAGGAGCATGCTGTTCTCTCCAGGGCTGTGCAAAGTAAAATGGCATATTTTCAGTAGTAAATCATAGTCAGTTGTCCTAAAAAGAATGAAGGAAACAGAATTCCAAAAGTCAGAAAGGAATGTATAAGCACAGAAGTCTTGAGATTAGAAACAAATAGCCTCCAAACACCAGTGAATCTTAAAACCATCAATAAATTGTAGAACACAAACATATCTCCTCTACTGTCACCATCTTTATCTGCAATAAAAGGAAATGAATTATTTCATAGTGTTGCCATCTCTTTATGTTGTGTTCCATTAATAATAGCAATATTTACATGTAAGTAACTTTTGAAATCTAGAGGTGATTATTAACTCAGAAGTAATTTTACCAAAAAGTTTTAAAGGCTACATGCACTTTTGAAACCATACCACCTACACATGTGGACAGATATACAAACACAGAGGCCTCATTAGAGTTGATTCATGCTTTATGTGACAAAAAGGAAAAGAAGAAAAAAAAAAAGCTTGATTCTTTTTATAAAGTTAAAGTTGAACTATAAATACAGTGAATGTTGGACACATTTTAAAACATACGTGTTTGGCATATTATTTTGATTTCATAGTTTTAACTCAATAGAAGTGTTTTTAAAATTACCTTGACTCTGTTGTGAAAACCTGATAAAGCATTTTATTATCATTACATTCTCATCTGCTCATTAGTGACTGTGGAATTTTTTATAAATTAGCATACACATAAAATGATAAAGGAAGTTATATGTTGTTTATTAAATATAGATACACGCATATGCCATATATTCAAATAACTTTTTTGCTAGTATTTATCCTTTTTGTTTAGAGACAGAGTCTTCCTCTGTCGCCCAGGCTGGAGTTCAATAGCACAATCTCAGCTCACTGCAACCTTCGCCTCCTGGGTTCATGCGATTCTCCTGCCTCAGCCTCCTGAGTAGCTGGGACTACAGGTGTGTGGTACCACGCCCAGCTAATTTTTTGTATTTTACTGGAGATGGGGTTTCACCATGTTGCCCAGGGTGGTCTCAAACTCCTGAGCTCAGGCAGTCTGCCTGCCTTGACCTCCCAAAGTGCTAGGATTACAGGCATGAGCCACCACGCCCAGCAAGCTAATATTTATTCTAATGGCCATTACTGCTGATTGTAAGTACCTATAATGTTAGTGAGGGTATGGCCAAACAGACAAAATTAAGATCAACAAATTTTTCTCTGTTAAATACATGTGGAAATTGTCCATCCTTTAAAAACAGTAGCTACAACTGTTTTTAAAAAGTCTTCAGTAGATAAAATCAATACCCAACATGGATGAGATGTGAATTAGTGTTACATCAAGGTTATTCCCCAGTGACCTAAGCCATGTATGTAAAGTAAATTGTGACCACCATGCCTCCAAGATCTGACTATGGGAACCTAATTGATCAGTGGCCCCAGCTCTTACATTGTGAAATCCAGCACTGCATTTATGCTGAGGCTACACTTCCTACTCACTGCCGCCAACTAATTACTGAGCACAGCAGGAATACTAAGTTCCACAGCAGGAACTAAGCCAGTTCCTGGGAGGCATAGATCTCTTTTGATGGTGACTGCGATTCAAGGGCTTCTCACTGGCCCCACTAAATTTTCTTAGAACTAGATCTAGGACCAATCCAGGGGCTTTCATCCAAAATCACTTACTTCCCTCTCTTCTGCACAAAGATCAAACCTTTTATTTCCATGAGCTAGCTCCCTTAGCCTTCTTCCCACTTATTTTCCCTTTTCTATCATTAGCAGTTCCCCAGTAAATCACTTGCACATCAGATTCCTTCTTGGCATTTACTTCACCAAGGACACTGACTAATACACAAACATATTGGTATCTTTGGAATTTAATGGAGGAAACTGCTTAGAAATCTCCTATAGATTTCTAATATAGCACCAAAAAGCATTCTTTTAGTTTTTGAAATACTCTTGGCATATGTAGTCAGAAAATGTGGCAATATTATCATGGTAACCAGATCCTAATGCAGCTCAAAGCAGCCTCACATTTTTATTTTCCTTCTCTTTAAAACGCTATTGTTCTCCTAAAATAAATATTGGCAGTTCTGCCAATGGAGACATGTGCAAGGGAAGCAGACAATCAATGTTGACTAAAAAAAAAAAAAAAAGGTGAAATCTTCCATAGAAGTCTGAGAGTAGGAAGAATGGCTGAAGTGTCATCTTTGTCATTGAAATGCAAGAATATATGTGTGGCACGAAGAGATATGTAGGAAAGTGCCATGTACAGTAAGAATAAATGGTATGGGAAGGAGATATTTTAGAGTATTCAGAAGAGGAGAAGTAAAGTAAAAATTAAAAAGCTTTAGAATTCAAGGGAAACTTCATTAGATCACTTTGTAAAACTAAATTAATTTCAAAAGTTCAATTTCTGCCTCTGTAGAAGCAGAATATATTAGATAATTTATAATGTTGTAATATGAAGTCTAGCTCTAATATTCTATGACTCATTTATTAATTTATTAAGTAATTAATGCAAAGGTGATACAGTTTGGCTGTGCCCCCACCCAAAATCTCATCTTGAATTGTAATCCTCACAATCCTCAGAATCCCCATGCAGCAAGAGAGAGACCAGGTGGAGGTAATTGAATCATAGGGGTGGTTTTCCCCATGCTGTTCTCGTGATAGTGAGTGAGTTATCAGGAGAGCTGATGGTTTTATAAGGGTTTGGTAGCTTCTCCTGCATTATTCTCCTTCTTGCCACCTTGTGAAGAAGGTGCCTTGCTTCCCCTTCACCTTCTGCCATGATTTTAAACTTCCTGTGGCTTCCCCAGCCATGCTGAACTGTGAGTCAATTGAACCTCTTTTCTTTATGAATTACCTAGTCTCCAGCAGTTCTTTATAGCAGTGTAAAAATGGTCTAATTCAACAGTAGATGCCTACTTTATTCTAGGGACTAAGCTACAAATCTCCTACAAGAAACAAAGACAAGTAATCAACAATTGCAATTATAATGTGATACATTCTCTGAAAAAATATGCCTGGAGTGTCATGGGATATAGGATAGGAGTATTTAATTCCTCCCTGTGAGAAGTGTCAAGAAAGACATTTTAGATGAAAGCGGAGTGCACAGGTAGACTAAGATATGGGTTCAATTCCTAGATGGTCTAGAGTAGAGAAAGATAGCATCTAAAACAGCAGCTTGTTTAAAGGTATTAGAATGTTAGGGGATACAATCTATTGGAGATATTAATACCATGCCTTGAGCAAAGGATGCCCGTGAGAAGCAGGCTGGGTTAGGCTGGAGAAATACACTGGCCAGTTCTTAAAGCCCTTAGGAAACCAGGCATTTCATTCTCAAAGCTGCGAAGAGCCCCAGAGAAATTTTACTAAAAGAAGTTACACAGTTAATTTTGGCTAGAAGCTCACTTTGAATGTAGTAAATCGTTAAGTATGTGAAGACAAGGCAGAGAAACATTAAAATTCTATACAAAATAAACTAGTTCACAATATGGGTGACTGAGTATATTTTGTTTGAGTAAATAGAAAGTAATTGTGAAAAAAGGCAGAGAGCATTAGATTTCTAGAAGTTTGAAAATAATTTTAAAAATAATCAGATCTCCTTTAGAACATGTGACCTTAAGTGAATAAATGGAAGAGGAAATCTCCCTGACTCTTTTTCTAGATTCTTACCTTGTGTTAGCCACAGTTCCAGGAGAGATTTCCCCACCTTGTCTGGCATCATTCATGGTGGTTGGCGATGACTCATCCTTACCCTAATTTGAAAGCAAAAATAGGAAGCCGACAAGGTTGAGCATTACTGGCAGACTTTGAAAATATCAGTGTGGAATCATTTGATAGAAAACTGACTTTTCCAGAGTTGATCCTCTGGAAAATGAGGTGTTTTTTTCCCCAAATTGATTCTTAGATTATAAATACAACCCTCCTTTCAGATAATTCCTTAAAGTATATTACTCTGAAATTTTTGCTGTAACTCTTTATAGCTTAGAAATGAACCAGGCCAGGCGAGGGTAATGGGGCCAATGAGGGTCAGGTGAACTTTAAGTGGAGGTCAGAAAAAAAGCATGGGTGAAGGATGATTGAAAAAGAGAGTTTGTAAATCAAGGTAAAAAATATACCCTGCTTCAATTTTTCCTCGAAGTTGCCAGTGGAGAGGTCAGATTGCTGGATGTCTTGACATCATGTATTTGTTTATGTCTCTCCCATGCTGCATTGTAATCATCTCTGTTATGGCGAATGCATTGCAATGTGATTATTAGTTTATAGGTCAGTCCTTCCCATTGAAATAAGCTTCTAGAGGGCAAGTACTGTGTGTTTTATGTATTCATTCTCAGGACCTTACATCAGTACCAGACATTTTTCAGGTACTTAATAAATATTTGTTTTAGAATACAAAACTTGATTAGTACTATTTTTAAAAAGAATTTAGATAGCTTGAAAATGGCCTGTTGCTTTTACATACCGGGTCTTTATCCTTTAGCTTTACTTCTCTTCCAGGAATTACCCTACTAAACATATAAACCTCATGAGCATCCTTGGCTTTCTGCAAACCCCTGTTCACACCAGTGCTACTGCTTATTGCAGTGCAATAGGGTTAAAGCCCAGCCCTCAGGCTTGTTTTCTGGCTTCAGCAGGGAAGGATTTAATTAGCCATTTAACTTCCTCAGGTGTAGGGGACAGAGCTCCCTCTTCCGATAATGAGGTCTGCGTTGCCAGCCAGCCACACTGGTTTCTCTCTTCAGGCTGCCTCTCTCCAGCACAGCTGGTGAGCTGGCTTCCTGACGACCACTTAGTCCGCACTGGTATGAAAATGGTTCCGTCAAGAACTGTCCTGGCCGTGCTCTGGGCAGTATCTTCCCCCTCCCTAATAACTTCAAACTGGTTGTGACTCCAGAATCTATCTCCTGTCTCTGACTATTCTGCTTTACTGAGTGACGAGAGAAGATCATCTCATCTTCTCTTTTTGCACAGGTCTCACCCTTTCTTCCCTCAAGGAGATTTTGCGTGCAAAGGGAGTTTTGGTTTCATTTTTGGTCTCTCTTTAAAAATTGGTATCTGTGTTCAGAAATAATGTTTCTTTTCCTGAAAATAATTTTAAATGGTTTCTATTAATAAAAATGCAAGCAATACAGAAAAGTAAGGAGAAGAAAATGAAGAGAAACAGCCTGAGCCCCTATATCCAGGCAGAATCATTTCTAGTATTTGGCAAGCTACCTCCATTTCCATATGCATGCAGATAAAAAAAAAAAGATAGATGGACCAAGAGATAGACAAATATACTTTTACAATAAATGAGATCTTTATATACATGCTTCTAATTAAGTAAAAACAAGTATTATATTTATATGATCTTTTTTGTACCACACCATGCTGGCCATTTTTAAACCTTAAATATATTTTACAGATCAAGGTATACCAATGGTTTTAAAATAACTTTTTTTTTTTTCAAATCCACTCTAGTGGACCTCACTCAGATAATATGTGTACTTCTCCCTGTTAAACTTCAACATTAATATAATTAGACTAGAGAACATCAAAAAGAAGTTGCTCTAATAGAGCACTGTGAGTAAAAACTAAGAAGTACAAGTAGCAGTACTAATAGTAATATAGAAGCTGACTCTCAACCTGGAATGAACATGCAAATCATCTGTAAATCTTTCTAAAAATGCAGATACAGACTCAATAAGTCTGTGACCGGTCCTGATATTCTACAAGCTTACATGGCCCTGCTTGTTGCTGTTGCTGACCTTGAAATACTCTTTAAGCAGCAAGGCTTAGAGTATACAATGTATCAGGCACTTTGCTAGGATCATTCCTCAGGGTTATATTCATGATCTCATTACCAAAGCCTATAACTACTGCATTTATAAGTGTGGAAACTGAGGCTCAAAGAACATAAAATATATACTAGAGGTCACTCTACTCTCTGCTTAAAAAGAGGTGTTTGAATTTAGACCTGTCTGGCTCCAAACAGAGGTTTTTTTTGTTTTGTTTTGTTTCCCTGTCATGTAAAACACACTAATGCTTCTTTCTAGAAATCCCAGTGCTGAGAGTGATGAGGTTAAAATCTGTAGCATCATTAAATTATGCATAAACTAAAAATGTCAAAAGAGTCCACAAAACCAGGACAAAGGGTTACCTTAAAAAACAAAACAAAAAAATTGCACAAGTTAAACAGAAACATCAATAGAATTTTGCACGTAATATATGGATTAGGGAAACATTTTAAAAAGACTTTGCAAATTTATGAATATTACAGTAAAAGTTACAATTAGTAAAAGCTGGAATATATCTAACTTAAGTTTAGCATCAGAAAATTTTAAAGTCAATGTATAAGCCATGTACTTCATATATATTTGCCCTATAAATTATATTTTTATTTTTACTTCATAAAGTCTAGAATAACTGTTGCTTACTCAAATCATTTGCTTTATTTATGAACAACTTTTCAGTATGTTAAGTGAAGTCAATCCTAAAGATTAAGTTTGTTGTCATTGTCTTAAACATAGATAAATTGGACAAATTCCATGAAAAACACATTTATCAAAATTGGCACAGGAAGAAATAGGAAATACAAATACTCCAGCATCAAAAACCTTCCCATAAGAAAAGTTTAAGCTAAGGCATAAAGGTTTTAAGCTATTCACTGGTGAATACAATAAAAAAAAAGAAGGAAGTAATAATACAATCAAACAAACTTTTTCACAACACATTTAACAAATGATCCCAAAAGAAAATTAGCTGATAAAGTACTTAGTGTATATTTCCATTTATATGAAGTTGACCATTTATATGAAGTTGAACAATGGCAGAACTACTCAATGTTGATAGAAAAGTGACAGTTGATTATAAAGGGTTTGGAATGAATGGGAAGGGAGTTGAGGGAACTTTTCTTTGGTGATGAAATTGTTGAGTTGTCAAAAGTTTATGCTCGTTTTCCAGAACTCAAGAATGTGCACATTTCCCAACTGAATTTCCTTAAGACAAAAAGAAAAAAAAATAGATAAGGTAATTTGTTCTCAAACCAATTCATTTGCATAGTAAATTAATAAACTAGCATTAAGTTTGGAAAAAAAATGATGTCATTGGGGCTATTCAATTGAATAATATCAAAACAGGATCTTAAAATGTTTTGAATGATAAAATTATGATTGATATAAATATCTGGCTTATAATATGATTAATTTGAAGGACATAATACATATTTGCATATAAAATCCCATTATGTTTAGTAGTTGCCTTATTTGTAATTACAACTGAGGTTGTACCTTAAATTGTTTCCTAGTTTTACCATATTTAGGAATTTGAGTTCTTCCTCACCTAGAGGTTAGTTCTTCCAGGATGAATAATACAATTTTTCATGTTGCTGATTATTATATGCTTACTGAATCTTTTTTTAGCTTGCTTTTTGTTTTAATTTCTATGCTTTTTAAAAAATTGAGATATAGCATATACTCAGAAAAGTGCGCAAATCTTAAGTGTACCATTCAATGAATGTTTACATATGATACACCTTTGTAACCATCTCCATGGTCAAGATATGAACACTTTCTGTATCTCAAATGATTCCTTTGCACTTTATTCCAGCCAATAGCACCTTCTTCCCACCTCTAAAAATGATCACCATTTGACTTCTATCACTCTATATTAGTTTTGCCTGTTTTTGAACTTCATATAAATGAAATTGTGCAGCATATATTCTCTATTTCTGGCTTCTTTTGCTGAATGTTATATTTGAGATTCATCTTTGCAGTTGTTGTGACATATTCGCTCCTTCGTTTTAACTTCTCATTGCTATATAGTATTCCATAATATGGATTTAGTACAATTTATTTATTCTACCATTGAGGGCATTTAGGTTGTTGATAGCTTTTGGTTATACACTAAGCATTCTTGTAAATTTTTTTTTGGTGGACTTAAGCACTAATTTGGTGGCTATATATCCCAAAGGGAGATGGTTGAGTCATAGACTAAGAATATACTTAGCTTTCGTAGAAATTGTCTTTTTAGAGTTTGTCTCTTTGAATTAGGAGCCAGACATGTGCATGCGTTATATTTGACTGGTATGTCTCTTTATGGTTTGGTTTTTTTTTTTTTTTTTTTTTTTTACTTTAAGTTCTAGGATACCTGTGCTGAATGTGCAGGTTTGTTACATAGGTATACACGTGTCATGGTGGTTTGCTGCACCTATCAACCCATCATCTAGGTTTTAAGCCTCGCATGCATTAGGTATTTGTCCTAATGCTTTCCCTCCCCTTGTCCCCCCATCCCCTGACAGGCCATGGTATATGATGTTCCCCTTCCTGTGTCCATGTGTTCTCACTGTTCAGCTCCCACTGATGAGTGAAAACACGCGGTGTTTGGTTTTCTGTTCATGTGTTAGTTTGCTGAGGGTGATGGTTTCCAGCTTCTTCCATGTCTCTGTGAAGGAAATGAACTCATTTTTTATGGCTGCATAGTATTCCATGGTATATATGTGCCACATTTTCTTTATCCAGTCTATCTTCCAAGTCTTTGCTATTGTAAATAGTGCTGCAGTAAACATATGTGTGCATGTGTCTTTATAGTAGAATTATTTATAATCCTTTGGGTATATACTCAGTAATGGGATTGCTGGGTCAAATGGTATTTCTGGTTCTAGATCCTTGAGGAATCACCACACTGTCTTCCACAATGGTTGAACTTATTTACACTCCCACCAACAGTGTAAAAGCGTTCCCAGTTTCTCCACAACCTCATCAACATCTGTTTGTTTCCAGATTTTTTAATGATTGCCATTCTAACTGGCATGAGATGTTATCTCATTGTGGTTTTGATTTGTATTTCTCTAATGACCAGTGATATCGAGCTTTTTTTCATATGTTTTTTGGCCACATAAGTGTATTCTTTTGAGAAGTGTCTGTTCATATACTTCACCCACTTTTTGATGGAGTTGTTTTTTTTTCTTTTAAATTTGTTTAAGTTCCTTGTAGATTCTGGATATTAGACCTTTGTCAGATGGGTAGATTGCAAAAATTTTCTCCCATTCTGTAGGTTGCCTGTTCACTCTGATGATAGTTTCCTTTGCTGAGCAGAAGCTGTTTAGTTTAATTAGATCCAATTAGTCAATTTTGGCTTTTGTTGCAATAACCTAGAACTGTAGAAACCCTAGAAGAAAACCTTGGCAATACCATTTAGGACATAGGCATGGCCAAAGACTTCAAGAATATTTTTATCTTTTTATTTTCTTAATTTATAGAGACTGGGTCTCTCTATGTTGCCCAGGCTGATCTCAAACTCCTTGGCTCAAGTAAACTTCAGCCTCCCAAATTGCTGGGATTACAGACGTGAGCCACTGCGCCTGGCCTTTGAACCTTTTTAAATAAAACTTGATGTCACTTATAAATATCTGTTTACATCATGCATTTTTTATAAAGAGGCTGGTGTATATTTTAGAGTAATTTAAAAAGTGTGATTGCTAGTGCAATTCATTTCAACAAGCTTTTCTTGAGTATCTACTATATGCCCAGAAAGGCTCAGTAGATTCAAAAAGAAAAAGAAAAAGAAAAACATGCATCACGGCACAATGTTCTTAAATTACAACATGTACCAGCCAATAGACATAGTGCTATTAGAAACTAAAATAATTGGGATGATGTAAAACATGCCGCATTGAAAAATAGCGAGGATATTGTAATCTTTTACTGCATAATATGATGTATACATAAGAACAAAAAATCAGATACTCTGTATATATGTTCAAGAGAGACACTCATATAAAAACAGAAGAATGCCTAGAATTGGTTATAAATTCTGCACTTTCGTGAATTATTCACTGTTTTTACAAAACATCTAACAATACATCAATACTCTGCAAAGATTTAAGTTTCTCCAATAACATCATTGAAAATCACATTTTGTTTCTGCAACCAAATAAATAATAAATTTATTTTATATTAGCACATAAATGTTCATGTCAATATGATTTATTTATTTTTCTGATGTATGGGCCTAAAAACACTATTTTAAATATCACTAAACAGGAATTTTTAAAAGTATACATGCAAATACCAGAAAGAGGGATTGGCTCAAGATCCATACTGAACAATTGATTAAAATACAAATCGTGTAAATACTACTTTTATTTTAGATCTGTCTTAAGTAAAAGTAGATTTACATGTGACTGGTCATCATCTAAACTTTGAAATAAATGTAGATAAAACAAATCAAAAGAAATGTAAAATTAGAAACAACATTTCAACCTGAGGCTAGCTCAAAGCTATGAAAATATGAAAGAGAAATTGTAGTAATATTCTTTTTCTATTATCAAAGGAAACTTTCTTGTTTTCTCTCTCCTATAAATATTATTTATTTAGCAACTTTATTTCCTTCTTTTCATTTAATGTCGACTGACAACTCTTAAGGGAATTGTCATAAAATATCATATGATCAGAAAGTAAAACTCTGGTTTAGATATGAAAGTTTATGATGATAGTAGTATTGGTAGGTTATCAGTAACAACTTTGTTCACCAAGTTAAGACTGATGTTGCATGCGGGAAGTGTTTGTTTTTAAGATATTTTTATATTTCCAAAAAAGCAGTGAAAAAGATACAATTATGACAGACGTTTGAACTAAAATACAAACTCTTGCTATGACTTTATATAATATCATTTAAAATTAAGTAACATGTCTTTTGGTGAAATATTGCTGCCATATGCTTGACTTCACCTTCTTGATTTGAAGCAACTTATTTATTCCAATACGAACTACTTTACTTTTGGGCCAGGCACAGTGGCTCACGCCTGTAATCTCAGCACTTTTGGAGGCCGAGGTGGGCGGATTACCTGAAGTCAGGAGTTTGAGACCAACCTGACCAGCATGGTGAAACCCTGTCTCCACTGAAAAAAAAGAAAATTAGCCTGTCATGGTGGTGTATGCCTGTAACCTCAGCTATTCAGGAGGCTGAGGCAGGAGAATCACTTGAACCTGGGAGCTAGAGGCTGCAGTGAACCGAGGTTGCACCCAGTGAACTGGGTGACAGAGGGAGGCCCTTCTCAAAAACAAAACAAAACAAAAACAAACCAAAAAAAAGTACTTTACTTTTGAGGAGAAGCTCCCCATTGTTGGTAAAAGTGCTGTCTTAACACTCCCAAATATATAGAAACATGAAAACCACAAATACACACACACACAAGCACACACACACAATTTAACCTAAAGAATCCTAAATGTGGTAATAACTGATATGTGAAAATTTCAGGTAATGATCTCAGTGTATCCAGGTTTCCAGACTTTAATATTAAAAGATAAAAAGCACTGAAGCTTTTTAAAAAATAGATTAAAAGTTACCTCAGTGTTTGTCATCCTATAGATATATTCACAAATACAAAAAATTGGACATTTATGTCTACTGTAGTATGACATGATTTGTTAAAAAAAAAGTTTCTGATATTTTCCACAAAAGATACAGCATCTAATTTTCTTTGGTATTTGGAAAATCAATCTTATTTGTATGAATTTCTTTACAGGACACAGGAGATTAAAGGAAAGAGAAATCTGATGGAAACACATCAGGGAAAATAGTTCTGTATTTTCCAATGCTTGAAAATTACAGCTCATTGTGTATTTTCATTTCTTTTCCTTTTCATGATTGCTTATTTTGTTATTTTTCTGCTTCCAACCAAACCAATCATACTGTTTTTTACACATTACTGATTATAATTGAGTAATATGAAGGTTCTGGTAGCCCCCATGTGTAATTTGTTTTCTTCTCATACTAAGTAGACAGGATAAGTGGTGCTAGCAGTTGCATTTTATGACAGTAAGTGATGGTATTGAGTTTATGTGGTCTTCTGTGGCACACACATAGGCTTCAAATTCAGATATGTTGGAGAAGGCATTTGGGATATGTTGCACCCCTTAACACTGTTAGAAAATGTAAGGTTTAACAAATGATCAAAATTTAAAGTAAAAGTTAAGTGATATATTGTTCCAGGAGCAACAACATCAACAACAAAATTACAAGCACAATGCTACTGACATTTATATAATAATAGTAATGATTAATTCTTTGCTAAAACATTGACCTGAGGATATTTAATAGCTCCACTGAAAACAAATAATTATTATGGCATTAGCCTCCACACATTAAGCACTACTCCATAGATTCTGGATACAGTTTGTATATTATTTATTACAGTGGTCCTTAGTGATACACATTTTAAATATCTCTGAGATTTCTTACGGAGATAGAAAATGACCAAATTCTTATCTGTAATTTTACTCATACAAAATCACAGGTGAACTGTAGAACTAAAAGCATCACTAAGTGGTATGGTTAGGCTTTGTGTCCCCATCCGAATCTCATCTTGAATTGTAATCCCCACAATCCCCACATTTCAAGGAAGAAAGCAGGTGGAAGTAATTGACCCAGGAGGGCAGTTTTTCCCAACCTGTTCTGTTAGTGAATCAGTTCTCAGGAGATCTGATGGTTTATAAGGGGCACTTCCCCGTTTGCTAGGAACATCTCCTTCCTGCTGCCTTGTGAAGAAGGTGCCTTGCCTCCCCTTTCCCTTCCCCTGTAAGTTTGCTGCAGCCTATCCGGCAGAACTGTGAGTCAATTGAACCTCTTTCCTTTATAAATTACCCAATCTCAGGCAGTTCTTTATAGCAGTATGAAAATGGACAAATACAGCAAGATTACCCTTAAGCTTTCTTTTTCTCTTCAATAAGCCTTAAATGTTAAGTGTATGTTGGAAGTTTTCATCCTATCTTTGCTAATATCACTGTTAAATTTCAATTCAATTATTAATTAATGGGGATTTAAAAATTATCTAAAAATGAACACAAAAATTGATATTAATGTCATTTCTATTTCCTTGTTCATATTAGTAATTTGATACCTAATTAGTGACTATTTGTATTCACGGATAATATTTTTTCTTGTGTGGGAAAGGAAATTAGTTTTCACTGATATTAAGCATACTACTTGCAGAAAGACATGTTGAATAGATATTTTAAATTGTTGATTAACAATAATCTGTGTTGGTATATTGGTAGAAATGTAAATGTGTACAGGTACTATGGAGAACAGGTTGGAGGTTCCTCAAAAAGCTAAAATAGAACTACCATATGATCCAGCAATCCCTCTGCTAGGTATGTACCCCAAAGAAAGGAAATCAGTATATCAAAGAGATATCTGGATGCCCATATTTATTGTAGCACTATTCACAATAGCCAAGATTTGGAATTAACCTAATTGTGCATCAACAGATGAATAAATAAATAAGATGTGGTAATGTGGTGTATATATACACACAATGAAGTACTATTCAGTCACAAAAAGGTTAACATTCTGTCATTTGCAAGAACATGGATAGAACTGGAGGACAGTACGTTAAGTGAAATAATCCAGGCACAGAAAGACAAACTACATATGTTCTTACTCATTTGTGGGAGCTAAAAATTAAAGCAATTGAGCTTATGGAAATAGAGACTAGAAGGATGGCTACCAGAGGCTGGGAAGGGAGTGAAATGGGGAGGGGGAAGTGGGATTGGTTAGTGGATATAAAAATATAGTGAGAATGAATAAGATCTAGTATTTAATAGCACAACAGGGTGATTACAGTAAACAATAATTTATTGTACATTTAAAAAATCACTAAAAGAGTATAAGTGGAATGTCCATAGCACAAAAAATGACAAATACTTGAGGTGATGGTTACCCCATCTACCTTCATGTGATTATTACACATTGTATGCCTGTATTAAAATATTGAATATACCCTTTAAATATATATACCCATCTACCTATAAAAATTAACAAAATACAATAACTTGTATGTCTATAAACTTAAAGAGACTCCATTTAAAGAGATCTCTTGGCAAATTTCCATTTGGATAATTTTAATGGTACATAATTAGTTAGAGGAAAACAGAACTTAGAAGAGGCAGATATGAAAGACAGGATTCTAAGATTCATCCTGACAACAGAAAATTAAATCTCTAATAAAGAGGAAATACTGTATTAAGACTTCCTGCAAGATTTTCCAACTCTATCTAGATAAACAACACAGCAAATCCATAAAGAAATGGAATTCCTGCCATATGCACTGCAGTTTTAGATGCTATGGTTAGAAAAAAAAAGTGGAGTAGCATGTAATGACCATGATATCTATCCTGAGCATCAGTAAGCGCTGTCAAATAAATTCAAGTGAATCTATGGGGCCAAAAGTACAGAAAGTTCAAAATCAGTAGGATCTTGCAAATTCTAGAATATGTTCACTGGAAACATAAGTGACCTCACAATTTAATTGGCTAACGAATATAGAATACAAAATTTTATGATGTATCCAGTGCCTACCTTTCCAGCTAAATTTATGAGCCTTTTCCTCCTTGTAGTTTATCCTCGAGCCAAAACAAATTAACTTTAGGTCCTTGAAGGTGTCACACTGTTTCACACTTCTTTGCCTTTGTACATCCTATCCTTTCTGACTATAAAGCCCTTAATCACCCGTCAACCTGGTGAACTCCAACTCATTGTTTAAGACAGAGCTCAGAGTCTCTGACTGCCTTCAGATAGATCAGATTATTGTCTCCTTTCTGCCACCATTGCTTCTTGCACATGCCTGCATGCCAGCTTTGTAGGAATAAAGAGATTGCCTTTATTTATATCTGTTTTCTCTTCTATCCTTGAACTATGTGTGGACAGGAACAGAGTACTGTTATGCTTTACATTCCACATGTGTAACACGAAGCCTAACACATTATAGATACCCAATAGGTGCAAAGTGAATAATTTTATTATAAAACAAAACTTCAAAATTAAACATGATTTTATGGTAAATTGTTTATTATTGATCATAAGGGCTGTGAAAATTCATAGGAAGAAGAGAAAAATAAAGGCAATTGCATTTAGCATAAGACTGTAAAGTGGAGTTCAAGTTATTTATTGAATATATTAATTTGAATAGGCTTGAAAGAGCATGTAGGGCATTCAAGGCAAAGGAACAAGGTGATAATGACAGGAATCTGAATACGCCATTACATATTTCATCTGTTATGAGGTTCCTAGCAACGACTAATCACAAAGTGGTGTGGAGAGAGCATTTGAAAGCAGTGGTTTAGCTATGGCATCAAGTTCCCACGTTCGTTCCATTTTCTACCCTGAGTCTGGTCCTCAGGTTAACTCTTTTAAAGGTAGCAAGATTTTTTGCCACAGTCCACTGCGTCAGCTACAAACACCATCCTATCAGCAGAAGAGAAGGGGCAGATTCCCAAATTTGCTGTTTTTCTCAGTATGAGGAAAGATTTAACAGATTTACCTCAGCCAGCTCCCCTTAAGTGGCCAGAACAAAGTCACAACCATTTTTGGACTTGGGAATGGGATTAATATAACTAATATTTATCATTTGCTCCTACATCACACAGGGAGGCAGCACAAATCTCTGAGGAAGAGAGGAAGGAATAGCTATTGAATAGGGAACCAGCAGTTTCTGACACATTTTAAGAAAAATAAAAAATAGATTTGTATAAGTGTTTTGAGGACGATTAAATGAACTAGATGGTCTAGAAAATAAGGCATTGAGCATTTTAGACAACGTGCATAACTTCTATACTTCTATTAAGGGAGAAGATTTTCCTTAGAGACAGTTGCATTTGTTCTTTTTAAGAGTTGCTGCAAATTGTTGCCCACCTACTGAGAAATCAGTTTTTTTTTTTTTTTTTTTCAGAAGAACATATACCCTGTTGTCAGGAAGCTATGGAGTATATGGTAAAATGGAAATTTTTATTTTCCAAATGCATATGCAGCCCCCTGAAATATAAATATAAGTTCATGGAATAGTATTTAAATATTTGTAAACAAAACATCCCATTGTACATTGCTTTTTCAATTACTCCAACAATGTTCTTCCTCATTTCTCAATAAAATGGAAAGGCTGACTTTTCAAAGAAATAAATCCCTTTTTTGCAGCCTCTTCGATATGTTTAGTGCTTTTTATTGAGTGGAACTCTTCACAATTAACTGTGGAGCTGCAACCTCATTAATTTAACAAAGAAATATCCTTACTTCCATAAACATAAAGCGTAGGCAGATGTGTAGAAAACATTTCTCAATTTTATTCACCCAAACACACAAGCTTTAATGATCCTTTCTACATTTTCCCAGGAAATTTGGTCTAGTTCCTTTTCTCTGTTTCAATTAATCTGTAACTTAGGAGAAAAAATAATAATCACAAATGCATTTCTCAGAAGTTTCAATCTCATACCTAAACAATGATCTCAGGATGATATCATATCTACTTATTGATCCTTCTAACACCAACAAATTGAAATAAACCACTGTAAGGTACAGCACTGATATTCTTAGTCTCTTTCCAGTTATTTTCAAATTATTACGTTTCTATAAATCAGGTTTCCTTAAACATTTATACTTACCTTCTGTCTTAAGAACAAGAGTAATAAACACACAACTTTTAAAATGCATAGCATGTAGTGTAAAAATAATCACATTGAATATTTTGTTAGATTAGCAGGCAGGTAGGGATCTTATCAATTATTAAGAAGGAATTTATTAATATAATGCTTGAGACTAGTAGATGTCCCCGTTTTAGAGCCATTACACCCTTTTAAAACCAGTATAATATCATTTTATTAAACTAAAATGAAATTCATAGATAATATAACATACAAAATTTTAAAAATCTATGTAATGAACTAACTACAACATAAAAGAGAAACAAATGTTTGCAATTCTAAACTAACTTTCATTTCTGTATGTAGATGCTTAGCAAGTCTCTGTGATGTATTATGGTGGAGTAGTTAGATGTTTACTCCTACATACAGAATCACCCCAGGTCCTGTGTTGCCAATGCCAGTGGTGCCTAATCATTGTAACCGCCAGTGTTCTCCAAAAGCTTTTTTTTTTTTTTTTGAGACTGAGTCTTGCCCTGTCGTCAGGCTGCAGTGCAGTGGCGTGATGTCTGCTCACTACAACCTCCGCCTCCTGGGTTCAAGCTATTCTCCTGCCTCAGGCTGTGAGTAGCTGGGACTACAGGCGCATGCCACCATGCCCAGCTAATTTTTGTATTTTTAGTAGAGACGGGGTTTCACCATGTTGGCCAGGGTGGTCTCGATCTCTTGACCTCGTGATCCGCCCGCCTCGGCCCTCCAAAGTGCTGGAATTACAGGCGTGAGCCACCACGCCAGGCCAAAAACAGATATTTAAAATGTGCTTTCTGGGAGAACCACTGCCTTGGATTGAGACGCTTTTCATTTTAGTGCAAGGAATTATGGAATCTGAGAATGAATAAATAGCAAGGAAGAAAACCTTTAACTTATATTTCCCAATTCTTTGGCCTGTGAGTTTAGGTTTGCTGATCTCTTTTATCTAAGACACAATTCTAAGTGTTATTCCAAAAGTGAAGGAAGAAATATATGTGAACTATACTTTACGAAAGACTGTGAAAATTATCTAAATTATTACATAAATATAGGGTAGATATATCTCCATTAAAATGTTTCAGAAGAGTTTCAAATACAATGATATATATACATTACACAACAAGGAAAAACATAGCTACATTATGACTTGGTATTTGTATGATTTCACGTAAGTAAAGTACATTTAAATAGCATTGAGGGAAATACGCCAGAATCTTCACAGTGGTTAATTCTAGATTTTAGGATTATGGTAATTATGTTTCTTTCTACATTCCCCCTTCTTATTGATGATTTCCAAAATATTACAATAAATGATTTAAACACACACACACACACACACACACGAAGAAGACATTAGATAAAGCCAGAGAATTGACAAGGGTTGTTGTTCATCAATTATTTACTTTTTATTTTTTAAATCTTCCCTGCCACCTGTTTTTTCTTCTCCTGAATGCATTTACTGTGTTACTTCTGTGATTATTCTTCCTTCTCCCATCAGTTAAATTTGGATATTCTTCAGTGTTCTTCCCTCAGTTTCCCTCTTCTTTCCTTTTTTAAATTCTTTCTCACTGGTATTATTCACACATGTGTCCTCTCTTCTAAGCTCCAAAACAACTGTAGTCTCAAGATGAAGTTACTGATTCCTAGGCACTAACTTGATTACGTCCTTTGGTATCAGGTGGCACTTCAGACGCATTACACCTACCATTAAGCTCATCTTGTTTATACATTAGCATATTCCTTCTTATGATCACTCCAACTCTCAGGCTTAAAATGCCAGTGATCACTGCAAATCTTACTTCCTAATTAGTGTATAATATTGATTCTTTCTTCATGACAACCTTCTCTAATACTGGCTCTAGAAGTGTTCTTTTTTTAAAGAAAAAAAAAGTATAACTTTTATGTGGGTATATCCAGAATTTGTATCAGAGGAACTCAAGGGTGGCAATTTTGTAGCAAGAGGGAAAGTTGTAATTTCAAAATATACAACATTTTTAGTGGAGAAAACATTAGTTGTTTATGTTAAAATTAGAGGAGGTGAATGAATTGTGGGGAAGTGAGTGTTTAAACTTCCACCCCATAAGTCACTCATCTTGATTCCCATTCCTGCAGTGAGCACCGCACCAGGCCCTTGAGGCCTCATCACTGTATTCTGCAAATGGCCCTCTCTCTAGGGTTGAGAGCCCTTAATGTAGATTTCTGGCATCGCATCCCTAGAATATTTTATCTTTATTAAGAGTTTATCACATTACTTAACTGACATTATTCCTTGTTCAAAAAAATGTGTATAATTGCTCTATTTTACCAATAAAATGGAGATCTTCAGTTATTATTTGAGTGCTTGAAACCCTTACTGAAGTATTGCCTTTATCTTCTCCCCACCAACTACGTATCCACACGTGCTACACTTGAGCATAAATAAACTACTGTTCCCCATATATGCTTGTGTCATTTCCTATCATACAATACTGTGCTCTCTTGTTCTATCTGTAGAACAGTCTCCCCAACTCAAGAACAACCTCTATGGCAGTAATTCTTTGAATCTTCAAACAGTATAGCAGTTGGTTTGTAGTCTTTGTGACTTTTGTTTCTCTGTGCTCTGCACTTTGATTATTTAAGTTCATGTATTAGAAATCCTATTTGGCCCTAGGCAACTTAAGGGCAGGTATCTGGATGATTATTTTTAATGTTTCCCAGAGCATAAATCATTGCCTTGAACATACTAGAGGTTCACTAAAAATTCCTTGAGTAAATCCACAAATAAATACAGATGATGATATTTGTGTTGTCCAGTGTACTGTTAAATACTTTTAACTTTACATGTTATGTTTTCAGACTGTTGAGTTGTTTTTTAATTAAATTTATCCCTGTTTTCTTAACATTTTTTGTTACCTTCTACTTCTAGATTTCCCTTTTTCTCAACTGAATTTACCTTTTTCTTCAACTGTCTCAGACAATTTTTCTGATTTTCTAGTGAGCTGGTAATATTGTGCTAATAATATGATATCAGTTTTAAAGTGTGGGAAAAAAAGTGCTCTAAGTTTTAGGAAGCATTGCATTGAAAAGCCTCATAACTTTATAAGATCTTTCTTTTTTGTTTTATTTCTCACTGATTTGCCAAAATATTTTCAAATTTTCTCTCAAACAATTAAGTATCCAAATTTTGATCACGGCAGAACTTCATGTTTTCTAAGATATGGTTTATCTGATTAATATATTTTTCAGTAATTAATCAAATAGGATTATAATTGTGGCAAAGTTTAATTTTCATTTTCACATTATGTTGGTGAGGAAAGAAGATTTGTTAAGAAAGTTACATATTCACTAGTAACCAATTTTTTTTTTTTTGAAATGGAGTCTTTCTCTGCCACCCAGGCTAGAGTGCTGTGGCATAATCTCTGCTCACTGCAACCTCTGCCTCCTGGGTTGAAGCCATTCTCCTGCTTCAGCCTCCCCAGTAGCTGGGAGTACAGGCAGGTACCCCCACGCCCAGCTAATTTTTGTATTTTTAGTAGAGACGGGGTTTTACCATGTTGGCCCAGGGTGGTTCTCGAACTCCTGACCTTGTGATCTGCCTGCCTCAGCCTCCCAAAGTGCTGGGATTACAGGTGTGAGCCACCGTGCCCGGCCTAGTAACCAAATTGTTTTATATATGGCTATTATTAAAGATTAAGATTAATATTACTTTGCAGCTTGAGATCCTGAGTTTTTCTAACATTTTTGAAATTTTGGAATTATCATAATAAAAAGAATTACTTCATACTTTTTGGTGCCTTGTAAGAGTTTTTCTAACATTTTTGAAATTTTGGAATTATCATAATAAAAAGAATTACTTCATACTTTTTGGTGCCTTGTAAGAGTTTTTCTAAGAGTCTCCAAAGACACATTAGCTTAATCAGTGAAGTAAAATATCAGTAGATTTAATGATAATTTTGTTATTTTGGAATACCATTTGGATAGTAAGAAAATTTTATAAGCTTATGTTTAATATTTATTTTTAAATATTTGAATTATTTAATGTAAACACAATAATGCTGAATAATAACATTTCAGTCAAGGATGGGCCTCATACATATAGGAAGGTGGTCCCATAAAATTCTAGTGGAGTTGAAAAATTCCCCCCTCCTAGTGACATTTTAGCTATCATAACACTGTTGCACAATGTATTACCTTTTCTACGTTTATGCATATTTAGATATATAAATACTTACCATTGTGTTCTAATCCCTGCAGTATTCAGAACAGTAACACACTGTAACAGATTTATAGCCTAGGAGCAATAGGCACACCTCCTACCACCATGCAGTTTAAAACCAGATAATCAGTATGTTGAGCCCATTGAGCACTTTAGTACTGCATCCTGCATTGGTATGATTATCTTATACTTTGCACATTTTTATTTTATAATAATTTGTATTCATTCATTCGTCTACTTTCCAACCCACTTGTTCCAGGTCAGGATAGTGGGTCGCTGGAGCCTCTCCCAGCAGCTCCCAAATGCAAAGTGGAAGCCAGCCCTGAACAGGGTGCCATTCCATCTCACACACACCCACACTCAATAGACTGTGATCTTTTAGACAAGCCAATTGTATTAGGCCATTCTTGCGTTGCTGTCAAGGAATACCTGGAGCTGGGTAATTTATAAAGAGGTTTAATTGGCTTATGGTTCTGCAGGCTATACAGGAAGCATGGCGCCAGCATCCACCTCTGGTGAGGTCTCAGGAAGCTTTTACTCATTGCAGAAGGTGAAGTGGGGGGCCAGTGAGAGCAGGATCAAGAGAGTGAGGGGGACAGGTCCCAGACTTGTAAACAATCAGATCGTGCGTGAGCTAACTGAAAGAGAACTCACTTATCAGCATGATTCACTGGGCAGGGATTGATTTGTTTTCTCATCAACATTATAATGAAATGGTATTGAATAAAATGATGTAACTCCAGGACCTGCTGTACTTTAACCAAGAATATAAACATGCATGAACTAGTGTAGTTATTGGTATGGAATCAAAGGAATATATATGAGATCTGTTTTGATGGAAGCAACAATCAAGGTGGAGTCTAATATGAATTTGATGTTCTGATACTGGTCCAGCTAAATAATGGGGTTACAGTAATTATATTAATAATTTCAAAGGCTCTATAAAATGTTTACCATATGCCAGATATAGCTTCCCACTCTTTTACATATATAAATGAATATAATCTTTATAACAGTATCGTGGTGGTAGCATTACTTTTGTCCCTATTTCATAGATGAAGAAAATGGAGGGTTGGAGAAGTTCAGTAAACTGACCATTATCACCCAGTAAGTGGTAAAGCTTGATTTTGAGTCCACTGAATCTGGCTGTGGGTTTTTTGTTCTTTCCTTACTGTACTAGGGAAACAGAAGATCAGAGAGAAATTTAGTCCTGTGAAGAATTTTGAATTGAGGTTATGCCAAGCACATAGATTTAGAATACATTATCTCTAAATCTCACAGCAATTCTCACATTGATTAACTCTTATGCTCTTAAAGAACAGAGAGGATACCTGAGTTATCTAAGCAGAAAATAAATGGGAGTCAGAGCTGCAATTCAACCTCAGGTAGCACATGGTTCAAAAGTCCCTGCTTTCCCTACTTTATCTGGTATAAATTTAAAGAGTCATAATTTTTATATGGTTCTTCCTTGGGCCATTTATTTACTCATAAAATAAAAATATTGGAAGTTGCTTATATACCAGATACAATGTGAGGTACTGAGATTTTTGTGATAAACAGTAATTGAGGACTCTTAGATGACAAACAAGCACAGAAACAATTGCAATGTTGCAGGAGGAAGTGGAAGGGACATAATACTCATAGTTCTTTTACAGCATTTACCACCGTCATACATTTAATCCAGGTGGTTGTGCACAATCATCTCCCTAGTACTTCTTGATATCCGTTAGGACCCAGAGTATACCTTTGTCTTTTCTAATAATAAATGTGGTACCCTGTACAAAGTAACTACTTCATAAATATTAGCAGAAGTGAATTCAATTCATTGCAAACTTTGTATTTCAAAATGTATTACAGTTAGGTCTGTTACCCAAGGCTAAAGAATAACAAGACATTTTTTAGTTGAAATGAGAAAGTAAATAAATTTTATTTTCCCTAAGACACAGTCTTCTTCCTGCAGATTCAATTTCACGGGCATGCAACCTATGTGGCCACAGAGTCCCATGGTCAGAAGGGCCAAATGCTTAGCCTAATGCTATGCTGTCACTGTCTTGAAATTCTTAATAATTTTTGCACTATTATCCCTAAATTTTATCTTGCACTAGGCTCCACAAAATATATGTGGCTAATGTAAATAGCCTTTTTGGAGGAGAGGTGCTGAGAACAGATGTTAAGGGAATATTAAACCTTGGGTTCAGGTACAACTATTTCACCTCTTCTAGCAACCTTCCACAAGAAAACCCTCACACACATATACTTCACATGGAGGTCAGTGTCTTTTTTCTATGTTCTCCTAGTGCACTCATCACTCACTTTGCATGCACCAAAGGTTGATGTGTTCTTATCTGTGCCCTGATAGTGCTGATAATGGGGTCTTTTGGCAAGCAATCATTGCAATTACAGAGACTGGTAAATATGCTTATATGATTTTGGAGGAATACTGGTAAGGTCGAAGTATATGACCTGTTAAGAATTTTTTCCTTCGGCCTTGAGATCAAGGCCGTGATCTTTAAGACCAAGTGAAATCTTGGCACATTCCTTACCTGCCAGATGACCAAAAAATTAAAAGTAAAAATAAGGTATAAATCTTGAGAGGGAAATTCTGATTTTGTCAGGAGGATGCACCTTGTAGTAACGATTCACCAAAGGCTAATGAAACGTAGAAGGTGTGGGAAAAGCAACAGCAGCAGCAGCCACAGAAACATGAGAAAAGGTTGCCTCCCAATAAAGAGTGGCAAACGCATATGTTATGTAAGACCTGTACATTATAGCAACTCGGAGCAATCTAGGCACTGAGTAGCCAAATGCTGAAGACTAGTGGGAAAAAAGAAATCACTGCATGTCAAGGTAGAAGAGGATGAGAAATTAATAGGATGGAGACCTTGAATTTAACCACATATCCTTGCAAGATGTTTACTGTCATTTTTAAATTTTTGCTTAAGTAAGGAAATCAATGTTTATCAATTCTCTACTCAATTTTGCTTTCAGAGCTTATTTATGTTATACACAAAAGAAATATATGATACAGTTATTAGTCTCTTCATTGGGCATCAGTGAAAATAAATCAACACAAAAACACAACTTCTGTAAAATATTTGGTTGAGAGAATAATTAGTTAATAACCGATTAAAAAAATTGAATTGGACATTAGCCTTAAACTGATAATATTAGTGTATAAATACCAGTTCACATAATATTAGTAAATTCATGAGAGAACATTGAAGTTATACTGTATTCAACATAGCAGGCCTTTTGTGTCTAATCTTAATTCCAATGACAGCAACATAAAACTAATTGTAATTTCTATATCTAGTATACAAATATTTTATAAACAATTATATTTATAGCAGAAAGCATACCAGCTATTATGAGCCACTGTAAAATCTTGTAAATAGCATTTATATAGTATTTATTATGTCTTGGCAAACACTTTATACAGATAATCATATATAACTATAAGCACTTTATATAGATCAACTATTTTATTCTCATTTAACGCTTTAATCCTATAAGATAAGCACAATCATTATACTCATTGTTTAGACAAGGACATGGACGAATAGTGTTTTCACGACTTGCCTAGTGTTTCTTAGCAAGTAAATGACAGAGTCAAAATTCAGTCTCAGTCCCAGACACCAGGGATCCAGATTTTGTGCTTTTAGCCACTTTACTGTATATCGTTGCTGAAGAAAGTCATTTCGCATTAAACAAGCATTAAATAAGCTACCAGTTAGCAACTTGTGTTACCATGTTATCATTAGAAATACATTGGTAATTTTAAAGTATCTAAGTGTATTTTTAATTAAAGTTTAGATAGCGAGTAAAACTCTAAACAATACGGGACAAATATCCATACCATAAATATTTCACATGTAACTTTACTTTTTATATTAAATGAGTGTTAACATTTAAAAATTGTCATCTGGGCTAGCCTTGTCATTTGGCATACTCTGTTTACTTGCAAGGTAGTCTTTATAGGTGCAGGTCTATGATAATTATTAAATATCAGTTTTTCAATGGTTTTCCTAGCCATTTATTCAGGGAACAGATAGACATTTACTATGGTGAATCTGGAACGTACCTAAGGTAATATACCACTTTTTAGAAAAATTCTGTTTCTCTTTTTGGAGTCTAATACCTTGGGGTATAATAAGTGCTTAATAAATACTTTTAACCATGATGATTGTTTTTAATAGATAAATGTAAAAGTTCATAAGAACCCACTTCCTCAAATATTTTGTTCATTCATATGTCACTAATTCTGAATATTATGTAAAAAGAGACAACGGGGATATTCATTGACATCAAGAACCACTTATGTTTTTTAATGCGAATTTTTTTCTTTTAAATGGGATGTCTTATTACAAAGTAAGTAGATCAGCAGCCCCTTGAAGTTATTATGGGCCTGTTGTGGCTTATAAAACAGAAAGGCAGTAAAAGGCACAGAAGCAGAAATTGGGGATGCAAAAGATTTACTAAATTTTACAGTTTTCTCAGCATTAACTCTGTTCATAGCTGTAAGTGACATAATAACTTATTGATTATTAATCAATTTCAGCCAGTGAAATACATTGTGAAGTTTTAAAATTATTTGCTTATCAGATCATGTGATAAAGACAGCTAAATACAATAACAGAACAAAATCCACAAATCCCTTATACCTGTGCAAGTTGTTGTGAAATGTTTCTGTATTAAGGATCTTAGTTATAAGGGAAAAGAAAAAGTTATAGCCTGAAAAAAAAAGAAATGTGTCAAAGGACAAAGTACTTCATACTGTCAGGAAGGTAATTTCTGATGTATTGTGCTCACCAGAAAAAAAAAAAAAAAAAACGGCCGGGCGCGGTGGCTCACGCCTGTAATCCCAGCACTTTGGGAGACCGAGGCGGGCGGATCACGAGGTCAGGAGATGGAGACCATCCTGGCTAACACGGTGAAACCCCGTCTCTACTAAAAATACAAAAAATTAGCCCGTCGCGGTGGCAGGCGCCTGTGGTCCCAGCTATTCAGGAGGCTGAGGCAGGAGAATGGCGTGAACCCCGGAGGCGGAGCTTGCAGTGAGCCGAGATCGTGCCACTGCACTCCAGCCTGGGCGACAGAGCGAGACTCCGTCTCAAAAAAAAAAAAAAAAAAAAAAAGCCTTATGTCTATGAAAGATTCCTGACTTTGCAGGAAATGCAGGAAATGAAATCGAGACCTAAATCAAACACAGTGATAAAGATGTGCCATTTGTGTATATCTGCCTTTCTAAACTGAAGAATTTATAGACTGAACAAACAATTCCTACCACTTGCGGTCCTGTTACTATAACTTTGGTCATTTTCCCCTTTGCTCTAGGATTAGCAATTACATTGAAATTCCTACATGAAAAACTGGAACAACTGCACACCTTGAATCCAGGTAGACCTGGATTTGATTACTGGGGCTAATCAGGAAAACAGAACAAATGTGAAATAGTTTGGTGGTCTCTGGTGCTAGTTTTGCTTTGGAACCAAATGATAAAGTTGTTGAAAGGTCTGTAAGGCACAAGGAACCAAGACGAACCCAGAAATTCACAGAGTAGAAAGCTGTTACCTCCCTTAAGACTGGCAAGTCAGAGAGTTGAGGAGTGTTACAGAGCTCCAGAGTAGAGACCACCACTTGGGAGGAGCTGGAATCATAGTGAGGCTGCTTTGTGAGAGCTGAGCCCACCAAGGGAGAGGTTGTCTATCAGGAGCTGAAATCACAGAAGAGGCACTTCATCTGCGGGGATGCTGCTTAGAGCAGAGGAAGGGAACTTACTTTGGCTTCTTTTTGTCACCCTCCAGTTTCCTGCTAGGTGTCTCATTAGCTAAAGGCTGGTTGGCAACAGAACTTGAGCAACCTAGTTTTTATGTGTTGGCCATTTATGATATAGAATAGAGCAGAGGAATGACAAACAATGGATACGAGGAGAAAAAGCCAAAGCAAAATGGAGAAAAACAAAACTAACTCAATGATCTTGGTCAAATAGTTTACATACCTAAATCTCCATTTCATTTTCTTCAAGATTGGAGGAATGCTATCCAAATTACAGCATTTTTATTAAGATTAAATGAAATCAGATTAATAAAGTATGATATCCCTGGAATATATTAAGTGGTGTATTAATAATGATTTTTCTTCCCCAATTTTGCAAACAGGAGCCAATACATGAGAAAGAAAGAAAATGTGTTTTTTGTTGTTTAGTTTATTGTTTTACTAATAGTTCCTTAGTGCAGACCTATCATAATTGTATGACTTCTTCAGTATTTTAGGTGCAATTTTTAAAAGTAGTATCAATATAACCTTTCTAACAATTTATCTTAGAAAAGTTAATCGGTAGTCCAATCCATCTCAGATTACAATCCATAGCTAATATAAGTATACCTCATTTATTGTATTTTGCTTTATTGTGCAAAGATATACAGAGTACTTGGGTATTCTGTGTATCTCCTAAATATCTGAGCTTATATATGACAACAGTAGTTACATCATTTTTATGGAACAAAGACTTACTTAGTTTATCACACTTAAGAGTACATGTTACATTATTTTTGCATTAAAAATTGTCAAAATGTTGATCAATTGCACTTATAAAAAACTACCTAAAAACTGGCCAATTTGAAAGAATGTATGTAAAAGAAAGCTCAATGAATAAAAATGTACAATATTTGAAAAATTGGAATCAATTTTAATATCCATTAACTTAGAAACCAACTAAATATGATTTAAGTATAGAATACTATGAAGTCATTAAAATTATGATACTTATGTACATCTACAAATGGTAAAAGTTGTGTATGTTATATTACTGAATAAAGTAAGCATATTACAAAACATCATGGAGCCATTTTTGTTATAGATGTGTGTTTGTATTCAGGTGCAGAAAATATATACAAAAATCTAATGATAATTGTAGCTATATCTGGGTGGTGTTATTATGGTTTATGTTTGTTGTACCCTTTCTGTGTTTCAGTACTTTCTGGTACTTTATAATAATTTTTTTGAGATTGTTACATTAACTGTTTAAGAAACTAAATGCCAAAAATGGCAACTTTTACTTTAAGAAATGGGTTCTCCAATTTTCATTGCTTATTTATTTTATTATTTCTTGAATTTTAAGATAAATTATTTGTATAGAATTTCTATTCTAGGACATGTAGTACATAGCTGTTAGTTGAATGAGAGAGCACATATAGGAGGGACCCTAGAAATTTTATTAATTGACTTGTGACTTATAGATGACTAGAAACAACTTTCCTCTAATTTAAACTTACCAAGTTACACATACAGGAGTGAAAAGCAGGGTTAGTTCTCTTAAAGCATAGTTATTGTTTAATTTAGTTGTAATAGATATTAATTAAATACAGAAATTATTTTTAAACTTTAACAAGGGCATTTCTCTATGATCTCTGTTGCCAGACACTAGGAAGTAATCTCTGAAGGATAGGAAGCAAAGCATAAATCAAATAAGATAGTCTCTGTTGTACGCTGGACAACACAACAGAAGATTGAAAATGTGTTGCTATTGTTTTTCTGTTTTTTTTTTTATTTCTTATTTTGTTTTTTGGTTGTTAATATATGGCTATTCAGTTAATATATGACTAACTGTTGTTTTCTTTTGACATTAAATGTGACCCATGTTGGGAAGGCTAAAAACCAGCTAAATTTACAATGCAGAGGGTAAGAAAAGTTAACCAGAGTCCACAAAGTTGATGAATGTAGGAGCAGAAAGGCAATGTCAAATGAATGCTTTTGTGAAATTAGCAGTGACAAACTTAGGGACAGTTTGTAATAACCACCCCTGAGTTTATAGCCCTTTACATTTCGTCTGGCATAATATATCATTCTATTTTTATTTTAAATCACCAAATGAGGCGAGTTAGGGAAATGCAGGTCAGGGCAAGTACAGTTATCTTTATGAGGAACCCCAGGCTCAGAGAATTTAATAACTTGTCTAAATCTCTGACTTTCAAATTAGTGCCCTTTCCCCTGTGCCTCATGGCCATACTCGATCACTTCAAATAAGTACTTAAAACTCTGTGAGGCATTTGGAAATAACATATTGATATATAACATATAAGATAATATAATATAGTAGAAATATTTCTGAACATTAATGATTTCTACCCAATTAGATACTGTTAGTACACCTATTTATCTTTAAAGAATTGGCTTCAAATCCCTTATCACTACCACCATTAAGACTGGGTCTTTTGTCACTATCTATCAAATATCCTATGGGCATAAGTAATTTTTGTTCATTAATATCTATCATTCTCACAAAAGTAACCATAATAATTATAAAATGCTGTTTTCAATATAATGCATTATTGATTAATCTCATTAATATGTCATTATTGTTAGTAGTACTACCCATGTATAATTTAAATTAATGTGTGTCTAAAACATTGATTCAGTCTGAGGGAACTTGGATTTCTGATTATAAGCAATTATGAAACCTTAACACCCAGAGTTAAGCCTGTTGAAATATATTTAGAAATACTTAAACTCTGAAATAAATGTAATAGCCCCTTGTGGCATAAGAGAAGCAGTTTCTGACCATCTGACCATTTTTAGGTAGAAACAAAATCTCAGTGATTAAAGTGCTGCTCTATTGAGAAGGATGGAAACGTCTCGTAATATCTTAAAAGATAAGACAGCGCTAACATGTGGCATACAGAAGACAGCCATGTCAGGAAAAAAGAAAAATTTACACAAGAGGAAGAACAATAGTGACAGTGTTATTAATGGCCACGGAAGGAGTAGCTGTTTGTGTCAAATAGGCATACCCTGAATAGTAAGGAAGAAAGTCCGGGGTAGGTGGTAAATTACAAGTATTTTTTACCAACCCCGTCTCCTGTGGATACTAAAGAGCCCCCCAGTATTAGCACTTAAAGTTGTGTGTGATCAAGAGATACAGCAGTCATTAGTGTGAGAAAGGAGATTAATGGTAAGTAAAAGTATATTGTTCTTAATATAATTCATTTATTCATGGTAAGTAAAAGTACCTTTTCCACCTTTCATTCCATATAGGCCCCACAACCATGCATATTATTATTATTATTAGGTTTCTATCTTTTTTTAAAATTATACTTTAACTTCTGGGATACATGTGCAGAACATGCAGGTTTGTTACATAGGTATACACGTGCCATGGTGGCTTGCTGTACCCATCAACTTGTCATCGACATTAGGTATTTCTTCTAATCCATGCATATTATTAAACTAAATATACTGTATACTAATTTAAGAGGTCACACCTAAAAAATATTATCAGATATGATTGATGCAAAACAAATAAAAGCCTTACCTTTCTGATGTATGTATGATTTGGAAATGTTCTACCTAATGCATAGTTGTCATGTAGGATCATCCACTATTACCTCTACTCCTCCCCCAAGAAATGTATTTCAATTTTACTATTCTTGCCCCTGTAAATTAGAGATTATGTACTCTGTTATTGAAAATACAAAATGGTGAGAGTGATAGATGTATCCAATAGGCTGTAATATAATGAGAGTACAAATCATTATAAATATATACTTATATGGAAGTTACTTCTTTTACCTGGGGCATGTATGAAATACTAGCATTTACGGTAGCTCTTGAGTGATGAGTGGAATGCCAGCTAAGAAAGAGTAAGGGCAGAAAATCACCACTAAGATAAACGTAGGAGAAGAGACATAAAAGTACATTAATATCAGGCTTGTTGAGTAGAGTGAGGGAAACTAAGAGATGTAGGTGCCTGTGTATAGTGGTAGAAGCTTATATGCATATTTGGATTGTATAAGCATGGAAAGAGAGGGTGAATTAACAAATGAAATTGGGACTGTAGTTTGGATAAAGATTTAGCAGGCAAGCTGAGTATTTTGGACATTATTTTGTGAGCAGTCAGGAGCCACGAACTTTATGTTCAGGGCAATGACAAGAACAAGATAACTTACATTGAGAGACATGATGTGATTTTTCAAAAAATTAAGTATTCATAGTCCTTCAATATATAAATTGGTTTTATTTCTTTTTCATCTATTCTGTTTAAGTGCATTGGTTTTAAATATGATATAATGTGATATTCATTCAATTTTATTCAAACAGCATCAATATTTAAATTGTCTGTAATTTACATGAATGGTTCAACATAGATGTTTTAGTTGAATTAATATCTTGCAATAACTTCAGTGGAAATGCTTTTGTTCCTTTGAAAAATATCTACTAGTTAAGTAAATGTATCCAACTGTGAAAATAATGTGATAAAAATATCTTAATATACATTAAAGTTCATTGGTTTTGAAAAATAATTGGTTTTAGATACAAAGCTATTAAAATTAGTAAAAATGCCTAATTTAGGATAAAATTTGTTCATTTCTGTGCAATTACTTTTGGCTATGATAGAAAGTATTTGTGATGAAAACAATATTATGACTTTGGTGACAGTAAGTAGTACTTCTGTTTCAGGAAAAATAAAATAGATGAGATTCATAAATTTAATGGACCAGTAATTTAAAATAAGCATCCAAGATGAGAAGAACAGTCGCCTAATTGTTTCCTTTTAACTAGAAACATGCAGAATATAATATTGCCACAGAGTTGTCTATGATTGCATAGATTTCAAAGTGTTTTCATAGGTTTTATTTTATTTGATCCCCAGGGTAATTCTTTAAGATAGGAAAAACAAGTGGTAAAATATGTTAATATTTTAATGACTTTTCCAAGGTTTCAAGTCTGACAGTAGGACCCAGTTGTGTTTTTATTTTATTTTTTATATCTTCTTTACTGGGAGTAGGCTATTATTAGACTTTCTTTTGCACAAAAGCATTCCAATTTTTTTTCAGTCAAGGCATTCAAAAACTAGTCTACTAAATACGTATGAAGGGTGTATCTGATTTTTCTCGCTGTCATACTGCTTGCATTTGGATGCATTAAGACTTAAGTTTATTATATGACAGGCTTTAGTTTCCTTGCTGATATACTTTGCAGATAATGATTTCAAGACTCTTGCAAAAGCATTGTAGTTCTCAATTTATAAATTTAATTAGGAGGAATGTCCTGTTATAAGAATTTAAAATCACAATCATATCTGTTGTGTATGTGTATACAGTGCTACACTTTATTAGCTATCACTATGTTCTGTGCATATTTGCAAGTAATGTGTCTGTGTTAAAAAACATTATTCAATCTACACTGAGTTCACTTTTCTTATAATCCAAATAATTGGAGTTAGATAAATATCATAAAGAAAACCACTGGTGTATCCTTTTATCCAAATGTCACCTTGTGTCTTTTAATCCAATGTCCCTTGCACATACAGTCCAACAATTTTTTTAGTGTTAGGGAGGCATACAAATATGTCAAAGTCATCAACCATTAGACAATATGAGTACAAACTGAGATGGGGTTGGAGATTATATACGTTCCACTGGAAAAGAGAAGAACAAGCAAAGCAAAAATATGATGTATTACCACTAATTCAAAACCTGAAAATTTTCTCTAGGGCAGAATATATTTCACTTACCTATACATTATTACAATGATTTAATTTTGACCAAGACCATAAGGATTTTTTTCTGTGATATTTACATAATTTTGAAATCAAATCCATAATAGCATACCATACATAATACAATTTTGTAACATCCGTGCATTTACAGAGATAATAAATTTCTTCATATTTTGAGTTATAAAAATTACTTTAACTATATTACTATATTCTAGGTGAATTAATATTAGAATGCTTCACCAAAACCTTTATATCTATTTTTGAAAACTTAAGCCATTATTGATACAATTAATTTGAGAAAATTTATTTTCAAGAACCATATTTGCTTTATTTTGGTAATAGAAAGCACCTTAGTTTTAAATGCTAATGTCTTTCCTACATAGGTAAAACAATTTATACTTTAAGTTAGGTGATGTCTTTCTCTTAGGATTGAAACCTGTATAAATTGAAGGTAAAAGGCCAGTTTACATAGTAAGAAAAGTGGTGAGATAAGGAAGTAAATAAGATTTTAAAAATCAATATAACATTAAACTAAAAACAATTAGGTGGGAATTATACTCCTTATATAATTTCTGAGCGAAAAAAAACTAAATTTTAAGCCTCAATAAATTTGCTGTATCTAGGTTCTGTTAGAAAATGTGGAATTCTATATATCTCATTTGCCCTGTAGTTAACTGAGAGGGGGAATAGAGGTTTCCTTCTCTAAATAAATAATTAAGCAGCATTTACCAAATCAGAGACAACACATTTCTCATTCATGGCTTCAATAATCTCAAAGAGTTGGACTTTTTGGTCATAAAAAGATATTTGTTGACTTACTTACTGATGAATGTTTAGGTCTGTAAACTGGATTGAAACAGATGAATTTCCATCAGGCATATGGTATTATTCCTGAAGAAGCAGGTATTAACCTTGAGAAGCGACATAGTTGACAAAGTAGGCCATGCAAGACAGTGTAATCAGAGCAGTACAGGTTGGAAGTCTGCTTTTTATTTCCTCGAGGTACCCAGACTAATTTTCCACTTACATAGACCACAACACTAGTGGCTGAAAAAGCAGAAGACTTTATGATAAGGTCACCTACACCACAGGGGACAACTGCATGAAAAGAGAAAAATCAGCTCTCTGCTACGAGGTTTTCATCGTCTGACTTTTGGCAAATAAAAACTGCTAGTAACTGCTGTTTGTCTCTGAGGGAAGAAAACGATAGTCTTCGATTGTTTAATATAAAATATTAATTATCTGATTCCTGAATTCTTCTTAAAGACAATAATGAGTCACTTTCCTTTAATCTCTTATGTACATTTTTCTTTCAATTACTTTAGTCTATACTCGTATTCATAGCATGCTTAAGTTTCCCATAAATCTTAATAGAAAGTATTTTTCAGAGACTAAAAGGTTTCCACAAGAGATACTAATGGTTTCACACTAGTCACCAACTTGATTTTTTCTGCTTCTCAGCTGTCTTTAGTTTCACAGTCCAGAGACCATCTGTCTAGACAGGTGTTATCGCACTGGTATCTAAAAGTAGAAACTGAACATCATTATTTTTGAAATCTATTTAGAAACTGCAACTCTAGTGATAAAGCAGTACTGGTCTAAGTTGTGCACTGTTACAAATCACTTCCTTAGAACAGATGGACTACAAAATGGCTTATTTTGCATGGGCCAGCTGTGAACTTAAGTAGAGAATAGGAATTGTGGATGTCAATTACATTGCACAGAAATTTTCAGTCAAGAAATTTACCAGATAAATCAAAAGGAGTTTGTTATGAGTAGGCATTTATCTCATGGATTTATTTTTTAAATAATGTCCACTGTTAATACAGGGAAAGACAAATATGAATTAATCTTAAAGATATTAGTATAAAAGTAAATTCTGCTAAAAAATACTTCAAGGCATATAAATGTATGGGCCTTGACTATACTCCACAAATTTTAGCTTGAAAGGCACCATTCTCTTCATTCCAAATTTAAAATACCTGGGTATTGATATCTGAGTCTTTTCTACTGTGTAATATTGGAGAACTTACCGTTATGAACAAATTTATAGATAATGTTGCAAAAGAATAGTTAATTCCATTACATAGTCACACTGTGTCACCCCAGGAACGTCTTTACAGCATAAAAATATAATGTGTATACACACACACACACACACACACACACACACAGCATAGGCACTTAGCACAGTGCTGCACACATATTATACAATCTGGTATTGTGTTCATTGCCCAGACTCCCACTTCCTAGTTAAGTTGCCTTGAGACCCTTACTTGAAATTGTGGTGTCCCAGTATTTGCTGTTTTTCTATGTAAAATAGGGATAATAAGCCTTTCCTAAATCATAAGGTTGCTGTGATGATAAATGACACAATACGTATAAATCACTTCGAAAAAACTGACATTTAATAAGAAGGCAATAAACATTAGCTGTTATCATTGCTGCTATTATTTCTGTATTCAAAGTGGGTTGGCATGTTATGTTACAAATCACCTGAACTCAAAGTACCTTTTCCTGAAAGAAAAATAGATATCAAATTTGGACAGATTTGGTTGAAATCATATTCTATTATTTCATAGTTAATGTTGGTGTCTTGGTACATTAAATCGTAATTTAAAACATACTTTTTATGGCAAAGTATGGATCTGAGTTAAAATCATTAAACATTTGGGAAAAAAATTTTATAAAGTAATGACCCAAAAAACAATCAACGCTTCTTTAGGACCTGCAAACAATATTTTTAAAGAGAGAGGAAACCACTTATCTTTCTAAATAAATATTTTTTCTACATGTGGTTTAAAATATTTTTTCTCTCTCTCTCTTTCTTTCTCTTTCTCTTTCTTTGCCAGCCCTGCTCCCAAGGAAAACAATAGATAAGAAATAATATAAAGCAAATTCCAGAGAGGTAGGGGGAACCTAAGGTAAAGAATCAAATCATGTAAGAACAATATTCTTCAACTTCTTGATCTAACATAAAACTTAAATAAATGTTAGCTTATTTTGACCTTGGTGTTTATGCATACTATAAATCCTAAATATATTGTTTTTTGGCTTTCATTTGTTTTTTACTCTATATTAAATATTGTAATTTTCAATTAGAAATGATATCATAGCATAATTGAATGTATTTTAGGATGACATTATTACTTGTAATTAGTAATCTATTAAGCTTTAACAAGGTCTTAGGGGCTGAAGCAAATAAAGGAGAAAATAAAATCAACTTTTTGGGATCCAATATAATTTAGATGAGCAGGAAATATAAAATATGTTGAACAAAGGCTATTTCTCCATAATACGTTTTTAAACTACTATAAAAATATATTCAAATAAAATTTAAACCAAAGTGTACAATAAAATATTACCTACTTATAAATGTTGCACAAATAAAAATATAAATAGCATACTAAAGAAAATTAAATAAAATGCACTTGGAGATATAGAAACATAGAACTATCTCTGATGAAAATTGAGTCATTCTAAAATGTGCTGAAATATATTTCTTACATGACTTTTGTAAAAGCAATAAGAATTAATATGATTGTATTAGTCCATTTTCACACTGCTGATAAAGGCAGACCTGAGCCTGGGTAATTTATAAAGAAAAAGAGGTTTAATGGACTCACAGCTCCACATGGCTGGGGAGGACTCACAATGATAGTGGAAGGCGAAAGGCACATGTTACATGGTGGCAGGCAAGAGAGAGAAGGAGAACCAAGTGAAAGGAGTTTCCCCTTATAAAACTATCAGATCTTGTGAGACTTATTCACTACCATGAGAACAGTATTGGGGAAACCACCCCCATGATTCAGTTATCTCTCACCAGTTTCCTGCCACAACACATGGAAATTATGGGAACCACAGTTCAAGATGAGATTTGGGTGGGAACACATGATAAACCATATCATTCTGTCCCTGGCCTCTCCCAAATCTCATGTCCTCATATTTCAAAACCAATCTTGCATTCCCAACAGTCCCCCAAAGTCGTAACTCATTTCAGCATTAACTCAAAAGTCTACAGTCCAAAGTCTCATCTGAGGCAAGGCAAGTCCCTTCCACCTATGAGCCTGTAAAATCAAAAGCAAGTTAGTTACTTCCTAGAAACAATGGGTACAGACATTGGGTAAATACAGCTGTCCCAAATGAGAGAAATTAACCAAAACAAAGGGGCTACAGGCCCTATGCCAGTTTAAAATCCAGTGGGGCAGTCAAATCTATGAACTACAAAATGATCTCCTCTGACTCCGTGTCTTATATCCAGGTCACACTCATGGAAGAGATGGGCTCCCATGACCTTGGGCAGCACCACTTCTGTGGCTTTGCAGGATAGAGCCTGCCTCCCAACCCCTTTCACAAATCGGCATTGTCTGTGACTTTTCCAGGCACATGGTGTGAGGTGTTGGTGGATCTACCTTTCTGGGTGCTGGAGGACGGTGGCCCTTTTCTCACAGCTCCATGAGGCAGTGCCCCAGTAGGGACTCTGTGTGGGGGCATCAATCCCACATTTGCCTTCTGCACTTCCCCAGCAGAGGTTCTCCATGAGGGCCTCACCCCTGCCTCTAACTTCTGCCAGGACATCCAGGCATTTCTATACATCCTCTGAAATCTAGGAGGTTCCCAAACCTCAATTCTTGATTTTGTGTGCCTACAGTCTCAATACCATGTGGAAGCTGCCAAGGCTTGGGGCTTGCACCCTCTGAAGACACAATCTGAGCTGTATCTTGGCCCCTTTTTGCCATGGCTAGAGTGGCTGGGACACAAGGCACCAAGTACCTAGACTGCAGACAGCAGGGGGTTCTGGGCCTGGACCACAAAACCATATTTTTTTCTCATAGGCCTCTTGGTCAGTGATGGGAGGGGCTGCTGCAAAGGTCTCTGACATGCCCTGGAGACATTTTCCCCATTGTCTTGGCAATTAACATTTGGCACCTCATTACTTATGCAAATTTCTGCAGCCAGCTTGAATTTCTCTTATAAAATGGGTTTTTCTTTTTTACCACATCATCAGGCTACAAATTTTTCAAACTTGCTGTGTTTCCCTTTTAAAACTGAATGTTATTAACAGCACCTAAGTAACCTCCTGAATGCTTTGCTGCTTAGAAATTTCTTCTGCCAGATACCCTAAATAATCTCCCTCAGGCTCAAAGTTCCACAGATCTCTAGGGCAGGGGCAAAATGCCACCAATCTCCTTGCTAAAACATAGCAAGAGTCACCGTTACTCCAGTTCCCAACAAGTTCCTCATTTCTGTTTGAGACGAACTCAGCCTGGATTTCATTGTCTATATCGTTATCAGCATTTTGGTCAAAGCCATTCAACAAGTCTCTGGGAAGTTACAAATTTTATCACATTTTTCTGTCTTCTGTGCCCTCCAAACTGTTCCAACCTCTGCCTGTTACCCAGTTCCAAAGTTGCTTCTACATTTTCAGGTATCTTTTGAGCAGCACCCCACTCTACTGGTACCAATTTACTGTATTAGTCCATTTTCACGGTGCTAATGATGACAGACTGAAGACTGGGTAATTTATGAAGAAAAAGAGGTTTAATGGACTCACAATTCCACATAGATAGGGAGGCCTCACAGTCATGGCAGAAGGCAAAAGGCAAAAGGCATATCTCACATGCCAGCAGGCAAGAGAGAGGAGAACCAAGCGAAAGGGGTTTCTCCTTATAAAACCATCAGATCTCGTAAGGCTTATTCACTACCATGAGACCAGTATGGGGAAAACCACCCCAGTGGTTTATCTCCCATTATCTCCCACAGGTTATCTCCCACAATACATGGGAATTATGGGAGCTGCAATTCAAGATGAGATTTGGGTGGGGACACAGCCAAACCATATCAATGCTGTGTTTCTGTGTCATTGCTTGAATAAAACTTTTTGATTATGTTTTCTTTGTATAATGTATGTATACACTAGCACAGCACCAAGGTGGTAGTGGGCATTCAATAAATATCCATTCTCTTCTCACCCCTATGCCATGCTGTTGCCTTTCCTTTACATCTTTTTCTTCAGGTCAAATATCTTTATTATTTTCATCCTTTAAAATGTTTCTTTGCATCATCATCTTATTTATTCTCCCATGTGGACCTTAACAATTTTTTATTTCAATTTAGAATGAGATTTATAGCATGGATTCATATAAATTGAAGGAAATTTTCACAAATATGAATATCCCAGTGTAGTGAGTTGAATTGTGCCCTTCAAAGGATTTGTCCAAATCTTAACCCTGGAACTTGTGATTGTGACCCTATTTGGAAAAAAGGGTCTTTGCATGTTTAAGTAAGTGAAATATCTTCATATCAGATCTTTCTTGTTTAACCAGGTGAACCATAAATCTAATGATAGGTGTCCTTCAAAAAAAAAAAAAAGATGTAGATAGAGAAAGAGACACATAGGGGACAAGGTCATGTAAAGATGGAGGCAGAGATCTGTAAAATGTATACCTAAGCCAAAAAATGCATGAAGCCACCAGAAGGTGGAAGAGTCAAGGAAAATTCTCCTCTATCATCTTCAAAACACTGTGGCTTGGCTGAATCCTTCATTTTGGTCTTCTGGCCCCTAGAGCTATGAGAAAATACAGTTCTTTTGCTTTAAACCTCCAATTTTGTGGAATTCTTTTATGGCAGACCTAGGAAGCTGATATATGTAGTTTGATCAGTAAATGCATAGAAACAAACATTCATAATGAACATCATAGCAAATGTTAAGAGAAGAAACATGGAGGTAGACGTGGGATTAAATGTATTTTAAACGTCATCTGACATAATGGTTGAAAGTAGTTGAATCAGATAAATTAATGAGTATTAAAGACTTTTGTAGTTCATGAAGAGCTCACTCACCCTGGATGTCTCAACTGTAGCACTGTTGACATGTTGGACTGGATAACTATTGGAGGCTGTCCTGTGCATTTTTGGATGTTTAGCAGTATTCCCGTCATCTACCAAGTAGAAGGCAGTAGCATCCTGAGTTATGACGACCAAAGCGGGTGTAGCATTGGGGCAAGGAAAGATGTTGGTCAAAGAGTACAAAGTTCCAGTTAGATAGAAGGAATACATTTTAGAGATGTATTGCACAGTATGATGGCCGTAGTTAATAATTTATTGTATATTTCAAAACTGATTTTACATGTTCTCACTACAAAAAAAATAAGTAGTTAAGTGATGGATGTGTTAATTCACCTGATTTAATCTACCTACAATGTGTGTGTATATATATATATACACACACACACGTGTATATATATATATCAAAACATCAGATTGCCTTCCATAAAAATATACAATTGTTATTTGTCAATTATAATTTGTAAAAATGCAAGAAAGAAAAAAATATTTTTAGAAGATCAGGACTGGGGTGAGGTGAATGAGGCATTTGCCATGGGCACAAATTTAAAGAAGGTACCCAAAAGCTGATTGATCAGGAACAATATTTTAATGCAATATTTTTTAAAAATTAAAAATTATACTAAAATTAATGATTAACAAAATAGCAACTTTTAAAATAAAGACAAGATTAGTACCATTACTAAATGTTCCCTGTTGGTGAGGAAGTGGTAAAATTGCCCTCTGTTAATCAATGCACCGATGTAATATAAGTGATATTGCTGCTGTGAAATCACTTGATCTGCTCTATTCTCATTAGTCTCCTCATCACTAAAAGAAGTTTAGCATTCTTGTGATGAAGGCAACCAGATCTCAGTTTGAATTGTGACTCTGCACCTACTTGCTATGTATCCTTAGACGTGAGTGTAGTTGTCAGCAAATTAGATTAATAAGTACACTTATGTCGTGGGATTTGTGTAGATAACTGAGATAATTCTAGTAAGGTAGGTAACACAGTGCTTAAAAAGTAATCACGCTATAGTAACCAAAAGCATAAAAAAATTACAGATGACATAAGGGAACTATCTTCTGTAGTAATCAAGGCTTTATTTAAAATTTTAAATCTACTTGTGCAAAGAATATGTTATGTCCTGGACATGATAAGTGAGCTAAACTGTACTAACTACCATAAATGTTGTTAATATTACTGTGTTTTATGTTACCTTAATAAATATCACAGAATCTTGAATTCATAGCCAGTCCTACAGCATCATATTCCTACAACATACTTAGCATCTAGTCATGCAGCAACTCTTAAGAGATCTTTTAACAGAGCTTGTGAGTTCTTTTATTTTTTAACCCCACTTTCTAAATTTCAAACATGACAAAGACAAGAGCATCATTTTGCTGTCGTTTTCTGATAAAATGTCTGCAATATATGGGCAGTCAAGAGCCCACTTCCAGGATAATAGAAGTAGTAGGAAAACCTAAACCTTAGATTGAGTCTGGGGTAATGCGATTCAGAAGCTGCTTTGAACAAAATTAGAAAGAAAACAGAATTAATAAGGAAACCCTAGCATCCCATGAGACAAGACAGTAATCTGAGGATACACTCAGAATTTCAAGTTAACTTGGAGTGTGCTAATATTTTCTAGGTTTGTCTATAGACCTGTAGAGAAAAATAAAATAATTTCTATTTAAGGACTTAGAACAATTTTCATTTTCAGTTAGAAATGACAATGTTATTCCCTTATAATCACACATGAAAAATCTAAGTTAAACAACGTAAGGGGAGTATCTGCAAACTTCATGGTCTAAGAAAATCTGTGTTAATTATTTTTTAAAAATAGTCTGAAAGAGGAAAACATTTGTCATCTGAGTGAGATTTGAAAGAGACATAGTTTAAAGTTTTAATAGAAAACACGAAGGATTTGCCCAAAGTCTAAGATTTTACTCATGATGTCACACTTAAAATTGATCAAAAAGTAAATACCCATACAACAAATGGGAAATATGCAGAAAAATATTTTGTATAATAATAGGTATAGAGAAAATAAAGTGCAGATAACAAAATTTCATTAGTGTAATATACTCAAACATATGCTTAAGTACTTATAGAGTAAGAGAACATGTTAATGGTTTGGCCATTGGGAACTGTGTGCAGTATTATAAAAATTATGAATATGTGAACAAATTTTGTTACAGACTACATTAATTAATATATTACATATGTACAATTTTGGAGAATATTAAATGGAATGTAGTTCCTATAATTATTTTCTTAAGAGTGATATTCAGATACTACAGTAATACATTTGGTTGTCATTTATATCAAATATTAAATATTTGCTTTATGATATAGACCTATACACAGACATATATGTGTATATGTCACATTCTTATCTGGATGAATTAACATATCTTAAACAGTTAGATTAAGCCTGTAATTTTCTTATCTTTAAGTCATTTCACTGTAATGTCTTATATTGTTGAAAGCAACTAATATCAGTATTACTAGAGAAATGGGTTATTTTGCACTTTTTCTTCATAACTTAAAGAACACAGTAGCACTGAGATTGTAACATGATCGTTCCTCTAAAGAGCACTCCACAGATGTCCGCTAAAAGGTATTATTAGGTGTATAAAATTGTTTAATAAGGAAAGAAAACCACAATATCATATACATCTTTTGTAACATTAACAGTACAAGACTAATCCTACGAGACCAAAAGTCACTGAGATGAAATATAAACCAAAAATTCATAAAACTCAACTGAAGAACAAAAATGTCACCTTTGAAGGTACCTATCCAAAATGCTATCTGTTATCAAACAAGTGATAGCTGTAAATGTTCTCATTTTTATTACCCTGCCCTTCTTATAACTCATAAAACTATATAGATTTTTCATTATATGTGCTAGGAAAACTGGAAAATGATGCCCCTAGCATATTGAAGAATAATAGAAGAGAAATATGTTACAACCTTGTTTAACAGAACTGACATTGGCACAGAAAAATAGTGGAACATACATACATACATACGTAAGTGGCCGTCTATGAAAGTATATCTATAACATGAACAAATTTATGCAAAATTAAGATTAAAATCATTTGTTGGTTTTTTTAAAATAGATTTTTAAAACATTTTACTTTTTCACTGAAAAATGTATGGAGTATCTCTATGTTCTTGGTACTGCCTTTTAAGATTTTACATTACATATTTTAGTTTAGTCTTTATGTAGTTAATAAATAATTATGCTTAGTTATTTCTCTATAGCTATTAGGCTCTAAGAAACTTAATTCTTGAGTCATCATAGGATATATTATATTAACTAACAAACATTAATATTTGCAATGAGCTTAAAGTTTACATTGCAGAAAAAAAAATCTGGGACAAAATGGATCTTAAACTAGTGTCGGCTGGGCGCAGTGGCTCACACCTGTAATCTCAGCACTCTGGGAGGCTGAGGCGGGCAGATCATGAGGTCAGGAGATTGAGACCATCCTAGCTAACATGGTGAAACCCCGTCTCTACTAAAAATACAAAAAATTAGCCGGGCATGGTGGCACGCACCTGTAGCTCCAGCTACTCGGGAGGCTGAGGCAGGAGAATCACTTGAATTTGGGAGGCAGAGGTTGCAGTGAGCCAAGATCGCACCACTGCACTCCAGCCTGGGCAACAGAGCGAGACTCAGTCTCAAAAAAGTAAAAAAAAAAAAAAAAAAAAAAGGAAACTAGTGTCATGATTTTTATTTGGAGAGGAAGGAATGTGGTTATATTTAGCAGAACTGGACTATGAATCGTTTGATGTGTGTATTCCTTTTTAGTAAGCTTAATTGTCTTATAATTTAAAAATATAAGGTAATTCCTCAGTTGTGATGGTTGATTGTAGATTACTTGGAAGGGAGGATAGCTGCAAAGGAGATTACAGTGGATTAGAATTTGTATATAACAAAGGCTTTTTGTAAAAGTTTGCCCTTCACCAAAAAGCAAACTACTTCTAAAGACACTTTAATGCTAAAGACAAATTTTGAAATTATAAGTTGATTTTGATCTAATTTAGATCCTAGAAAGCTGCCCCTAAGATAAAATATGATGCCTACACAACAATGTGCTGGCTCCTCTCCTTGGTTATTTTATTAGACACAGCCATAGGAACGTTGACAATAGGTGTGGATTCAGGCATTTAGGAGAAAAGATAAGTCTTCTTAAGGTTAGGTCTTTATTTCTGTAACATAAGAGAGAGTTATTGGGGGCGTTACTGGAAGTGTAGTAAATCCCATTTTTATATTTTTTTAACTATACACTCCACGACATGGTTTAGTTTTATAAACATCATAGAATTTCTAATTGTATAAGCATAATATCTAAAATGCCCAAATACAAAATTTTACATAGTATCCAAATACCAATATTCTATCTTTCATGGATTTATAAAAGTGGCTTGACTTAAGTAAAGCTTTCTGTTGAAGTCTTGATTTCTCTCTTTAATTTTTTAACATTGACAACTTTTATATAGAAAAGGAAAAAATCAGAAATATAGATTTTGTGTTGAATTAATGGGAAATGGAAGTTGTGATAAGAAAATTCACTAATTAAATATCTGTATTACTCTTTAGGCTTTCTCAGCACTTAAAAATGGTTATACATATGTTTTGATAGCAGCACAATGATCCCCAAGATTATATCAACTAAGTAAATACTTAATTAGTATTTAACTTGGAATATTTATTAAGCATATATATACAAAAAAGGCTCATATGTAAGTAAATGTAGATACACATATACACATAGTATATGTACATATGTATATGTATATACACATATACACATAGTGTATGTACATATCTATATGTATATACACATATACACATAGTATATGTACATGTCTATATGTATATATACATATTTATCTTTTAGTATGTTTTCTCATATATGACTATCTGATGTTGTTACATGTGTATATATCTAGTCATATATATATTAATCCAATATAATATATTTTATACTCCTAGAGACAAAGAAATACATTTTTTCAATCAATAATGTAATTTTTGGTAGTTTGGTATATTCTAAACAAAAATTGTTGATTTTTAAAAATTATATGTGTAGAACTCCTCGCAGTTTATACACTATGCCCATGTACATTTTTTCATATGGTGCTTACAGTATATTTGTTAGATAGATATTTTTATACTTTTTTTTGCACAAAAGGAAACTAGGAATGAAGATACGTAAGGGACTTTCCAAGGTCACACACCCACACAGATTCAAAAGTTGCAACTGCCTCTTTAAACCAGATAAGCCATTATACTCTTGTATCCCATTCCATCACTCTTGTTTTTTAAAATAAGCAAAGTGTGTCTGAAGAAAACCAAGTGATTACAGACAGTTGTAGATCACGTTAGAAGCAGAGGTAATAGAACCATCGGCATTTGAATTATCAGTTTACTTCCAAGCCGCTGCTGGATATTGCTTCCCTAGGCACAATGGCTTCCAGTAAAACATAGTCTGCATTGCTTATATGTAAAAGATATAAAAGTGACCATAAACAATTCCTTTTTCTTTTCAGTCATAGCAAAACCTCTATATTAATGTGAACATATAGATTAATGAAAAAAATGAACATTAGATTCAACTTATAAATGAACATTTCATTCTGTTTTTCCTAGAATCTTTACTAAGCTCATCTATCAAGTTTACTCTAAATAATGTTTATCATGATAAGTGCTGAATTTTTACTGGTGAACAAAATAATCAGACCCCTGTCATCTCAGAATTCATAGACTAATGAAGAACATGAGAAGGTAAAGAAATATTCGAATAGATGAGAAAGCATATCTCTTGAGAAAGAAGGGAACCTCGCTCGGAGTGCACAGAGCTTGCCATGACTTCCTCAAAGAGTAGCATTTTAGTTGAAGACTAAAGAATGCATTATCCACACCAGATGAATGGGGTTGTCAAGGAGAAAGAAGGAATACTCAAATATAAAGACAGAGAGAAAAGCATATGTGAAGGAAAGAAAGTGCATGATAATTCTGCAGAATTAAAAACTGTGCCAAGTGTTTGGATTATGGACTGGGGAGTGGTGAAAAGAAGTAATCAGCAGTTGTGTCAGATTGCTGATTTAGTATGGAATATCTCGCTTTTTCAAAGCATATTATATGACGTATGAATGTCCTTTAAAAGCATGCTATATGAACATTAAGTAATGGTTTGCATTGTAAGTATTGTAAGCAATGTTGGCCTTGGGATGCTAATAGCTGTGAGGACACCACATACCACCAGCAAAGGTGGTACTTCTACTATTACTGAATCACACTATTTCAAACATCATCTGTAATTTAGGATTTGAGATTATTTTTCAGCAGCACATGTTCACACGGGAAAATATCCCCTTTGGTTTTTCATTCACTCGTCAGCAGATAATTACTCTAGAAGCTTTTATAAAAGATAAGTTGGTGTTTCTCATTACTGAAGAAGTTACATTATTGGGAAGAAGTTCTGATCACCATAAATGTTAATATCTCTATGTTCCACATCTTATTTTAAAAATGTTTAAAAGTATTTTAGAAATGGAAATTAGGAATAACAGAATGATATGATGTGAAACAGAGTACCCAGAAGAACTGTGATAGAAATAGATCCATCATTATAGCATGACCAATATATAAAACTTTGTTTTTATTTTTTCTTAAGCCACTGAGATTATAGTTTGTCATTGCAACATAATTTAGCCCATTCTGGCAAATGTGGATGTTTTCATTGTTTTATTCATTAGGAAACAGTTCTCATTTGTTTAGATTTTTCATAGATAGTATGAATGAAATTTAAAATTGTGTCTACCCATGACTAGATACATATTTTTAGGGCCCAATTCAACATGAGAATTTAAGATGCTATTAAAATATTATCAATAATTTCAATATGGTGAAAGCAGAATATTAAAACAAGCGTGGGATCTAAGCAGGTGACTCTGTACAACTGCACATGTTGCACGCCCATCAGTTCCATCTTGTGTCTATGAGATGTCAGCTCTTTGTCTATAAGTGGTGTGTGTTTGTGTGTGTGTGTAGGTGTGTGTGTTTGTGTATATCCTTGGGAGTAATAGGAGTGTAGGAGTTGGTTGGCCAAAAAACTTAGAAAAGGTACAAATTCTGTCCTGATTTTACTTCTTTTTTACAAGAAAAGAAGGACATTTGAAGGATGTTTCCCCACTTCTCCACAACCTAAGGTGATACATGTTGAACTTTCTTTGAGGTGCTAATGGAATTTAGGAATTAAGGAATACAGAAAATTACGGAGTCAGTGGGGTATACAAAAGTGACCTTATACTGAAAATTCAGTAATTCAGTCAAGATCTTCTTATTAGAAATCTATTTTACAAATTGAATCTTGGGATATATTTAAACATCAGATTATAATTATATATATATTTAATAAAATGTTTGCACTGGAGTTTATAAAATTCACATGGAAATAAAATTTATACAGTTTGGGATAAAATAGGAAAAGTGTACTAGCCTGCTGATCTCTTAAATACTGCGAACCTATTTAATACATCTTTAAAAAATGTGTGAATTCTATATTTGTCCTAATTAATAAGACTTTTACTCCTGTTGCTGACAGCACTTGAATTAGCATGACCCTAGTCCTCTACTAGACAATCATGTTCAAAAAAGATTACCAGCAAAAATATTCACCTATGCAGTTCACTAAGCATATTATTTTGCATGCTACTTGTATTTTCTACATGAAAATTGCATAACTCAACTTCTCCCACAAATAAGTCATCAAAATTATTTTAATAAAATAGATTAGTACAGTACCTGATAATTACATTCAAGAAAGTATCAAATATTTTAATAAAAACTATATTCATCAAAGCCTACAACAAATGTTGAACAAAGTAGAAAAGACATATGTTACACCGAAGATTTCAATACCACACTGAATTTTATTGTTTATTTGGGTCATTGCAGTTTATAAATTAACTTATTTCGATAAAAATGTAATAAACGTCTATTATACACACAGGGTCTCCAATAGAAACTTCATAAATTTTAATGGAAAAATAAATAAGGGATTCTTAATCTCAAGAAGGTTATGTCATAATCTGAAATACGCTTTTTCCTAGGAAATCAGCTTATTTGCCATAAATAGAAAAGGCAGGACATTAATCTTATAAATGATTACTCTAATTGAAAGTATAAAAACAAAGATTTATTAAAACAAAAATAATTTTAATACGAGTTTTCTATTACAGAATGAATTAACAAGGCTAGATTGTGAATGCACACGTTTCTTTTGTTGGCACCATTATTGACTAAGGTATTTATAGAGATAATGCATTTGCCACTCGCCTGAAAGCCTTAAAATCCATGAATGATATTAAGTTTTGAAGGAGATAGTTAACCAAATTACATTTAAGTGCCCTTCAGGGATCTAAACCTAGAGTTAATTTCAATATTGTAAAAGCAATATTGAAGCTACAGCACTGAATGCTGGCTTATTCTATTTTTACACTAAGTAAAAAATAAAAGTAACTTACTAATGTTTAGCAGATGGTAATCACTGAAATTTTGTCTAACATTGATTTACATGTCAGGTATGAGAAACATCTTCTGACTATGCATTCTTTTTACTATCCCCCTTTTTTTAAAAAAAATTATCTCCCTTTTTAATTTGAATAGGATTGTACTAAACGTTACAGTGAGGTGAGATTTACAAATGGCATTATTTCTTCTTTTGTAAATGCCAAAGTTCATGTCAAATCTAAACTTTGCCTCAATAGTCATACGAAAGGCAACCGTATTAATGGATAGTTTCCCATTCAGGCAAAAACATGAATTAACTAAAATATAATCTACGGTACTTTTAAAAATACATACACACAGGATATAGAAGCATCATGCCATCAAAATTGTATCTTTTTCAGAGTAACAGTTACACCTTCAATGTGCTCATACTGGTGATCTGTTACATTATATTCCCTCTTTGATGATGGATACAGGAGTTAACATCTCCACGCACTTATCACCCCTTAATTTATCTAAATTCTTCTCAAACCTATTTTCTATATTATAACTTCCATTATTTATATGAGTTGTCTTGAAAGCAGGACCTAAGTTAACATCTTGAGTGTGGGAAGTTTATTTTACAGGTAATGATGGAACGCAGTAGTGAGGAAAGGGGGAGAATAAGGCAGAAAAAAAGGAAAAGGAATAAAGTACTGTATGTGACTAACTTGGTTACTACTGTTGGCAACTAAGACTCAATCCTGATAGGAACCTTCTGAGGAATTATATAAAATGCACCTCAGAATTGCCTATTTGAAATCTGTCAGCTGAAGCATTTCTCCATTAACTCCGGATACCTTGGTTGGAGGCTGTTATCAGGGATGTTTACTTACCTGTAATTCCAGTCATATTTATGTCCTTGAAATGAAATTTTGCCAGTGAAGTTGAGAATTTTCTACCATAACTCTAGCTGAAACCATGAGTGAGTCAAAGGTATGTAGCATGGCACACAAATAGCCTCTGCTACACCATTTCTTTGGGGGAAAGAAAAAACCCTTAAAATAAATTCCTAACTTATTACATAAAGAGATAAAGAGGTATTTCCCTGTGTTTCTCTAAAACTAAGTATCCTCTTGTAACACTCACCTAAGAATACTAAGTTTTAGTTTTTACTTTAATTATATCCTGAGACTCCTAATGAATCCCACAGCACTTGGTGCATCCCTCTCATAAGTTACGCTTATCTATTAGTATAATCATTCATGTATTTTTAATGTTTATGTTAGATTTCATAGTCCTTGTCAGTAGTGATTTATTTTACTTATTGTTTATCTGTACAAGGGATGATACTAATTGACCTTTTGCACTATTACTGAATTGAATTACATAGAGTATCTTCATGATACCTCTATGAATTTTGATCAAATCCATTTCAGCCTTTGTCTTTCTAGCTCTGCAGTACTGATTTATTTTAATATTACTGTATGTGGAAGTGCTCTGCTAAAATTGGATTTACTGGCCTTTCAAAAGTCCCTTTATATCATTCGAGAGATGTAGTGTCATAATAGTGGAGAAACTCTCGTAGTAAGAAATTGTTAAATCATGAACCTGACAACCTTTTGGAAATGCTCAGAGGTCTTCTTCTTCTCCTTTTCCTTCCTTCTCTTTCTCCTTCTCCTCCTCCTCCCCCATCCCATCCCCCTTCTTCTTTCCTTCCTCCTTCTCCTTTTCTTCTTCTTCCTTCTTTTTTCTTTCCTTCCTTCCTTTTTACTCTTTCTTCCTTCTTTATTCCTCATTCTTAAAACCATGTTATAGAAGTATCATTTTTATTCCTAAAACATTTAATGAAAAAAATACTCGAATTAAAGGCATATCCATTAATTATCTTCTTTTTTAAAAAGTAAAATAGGCTTGCATATAGTAGTAATCAATACATAGCCATTCTTGCTTGATCGGTAATTAGAACTCAAGTTTGTTCCTCGTAAACATTCATCTGTCAAGCATCTTCTGTGTGTATATATGTGCAAGACCCTATATGAGAGGTTGTCATAAGTAGCAATACAGCTTAGTGAGTATCAAACAATCCGTGTTATAGACTAAACATTTGTATCTCCCTGAAACGTATATGTTAAGTCTTAATGCCTAGTGTGATGCTATTCGGAGGTGAGACCATTGGAAGGTGATTGGACCATAAACGCAAAACTCTTACGAAGGGGATTAGTGCCCTTATAGAAGAGGCTCAAGAGAGCTCCCTTCCCCCTTCTTCCATGTGAGGTTACACTGGAAAAGGGGTCTTTTTAACCAGAAAGCAGTCCTTCACCACATACAGAATCTGCTGACACCTTTAGATTGGACTTCTCAGCCTCCCAAACTGTGAGAAATAAATTTCTGTTGTCTATAAGCCACTCAGTTTGTGGTATTTTTGTTATAGCACCCTGAATGAAGTAAGAAAGACCGGGGCTAGGTTCTGGCTTTTCCTGCAATTAGTCAACTACTTCATTTTTGACAAAATACTTTAATTGAATTTCCATTTCTTCATTTGTGAATGGGCACAAAAATAACTATCTTGTACATCTTTTAGAAGGAAAAATTAAATGAAATGTAATAACATAATGCTTATAATATCTTACATATAGTATACATTTTTAAAATTTAGAGGTAAAATATAAATTAGAAATCAGTGTTGACATCAAGGGGCATGCCATTCTTAGAAAAGATAAAATACTGGCCGGGTGCGGTGGCTCATGCCTGTAATCCTAGCACTTTGTGAGGCTGAGGTTAGGCGGATCACCTCAGGAGAGGAGTTTGAGACCAGCCTGGCCAACATGGCAAAACCCCATCTCTACTAAAAATACAAGAATTAGCTGGGTGTGGTGGCAGGTGCCTGTAATCCCAGCTACTCGGGAGGCTGAGGCAGGAGAATCACTTGAACCTGGAAGGCGGAGGTTGCAGTGAGCTGAGATCACGCCATTGCACTCCAGCCTGGGCAACAAGAGCGAAACTCCGTCTCAAAGGGAACAACAACAACAAAAAAGATAAAATACCAGCACATGAATAACAGACCTGCAAGGTAAAGAGTGAGAAGCAAAGAAAGGAAGGAGACACAGCTAGCACTTTCAGAAAAAGAAGTGAGTAAATATAATTATTGAAAATTAAGGGAAGATTTTAGAATGAAATGTCATTTAAATAGGCTCATTTGTGAAAGAAGAGGTTTGGTGAAAAAATATGTTTCTGAAAATGATCTATTTTGAGAACAATCACCCTATGCTGTATTGATTTTGCTAACTTTTTCAGACACATGATCAACTTTCCCTCCAGCAGCATTTGATAATTTTTACCCTAGAATGAGGTTGCATTCATTTCTTCACAATATAGAGAAAATAATATTACAAATGCCTACACATTTTATTTCTATTTACCTTTCTTATATTGCTAGAGAAATTGAAATTTCTTGTGTGTGAATTGATCACTTGCATTTCTTTTTAGTGAATTTATTTGTTGTGGCATTTTCCACAATAATATTTTATATCGATTTCCCCCAAAATTTATCTGCACACTTAACACTGTGAATAGTAGATTAACAGTGGGAGAAAATATCTGATGTTCTCTTTAAGTTCAATTCTATTATGTCCTAGTAGTAACTTTTCATTTTGGAGATATCTGCACTTAAATTATTACTTAAATCGTCTTTTTTATGTGCTTCGTGGTATAGCTGACATTGTTTTATTTTAAGGCGTTTGGATGTTGATTTCCTATTCTCAGGTTGCACGTTACATAATAGGCATGCAATTGACCAACAAAATAAATATTCTCTCTATATCATGGAGATCATAGTATAGTGGGAGAGATGGATGTTTTGAAAAACACAAAAATATAAAAAGATATTGAATGAGTTTATAGAGTAGAGGGACATGATTCAATTTATGATTTAAGAGTATTATCTCATCAATGTATAAAAATAATATCTGACTTGAGAAAGTGGGTAGATGGCAATGCCATTTATTGAAAAGGAAAAAAGTGGTTGGCGAGTTAGGAAACAGATGAATACATTTAGATAGAAGAATCAGAACTCTCATTTGGATCTGTTGAATTTTAATTGCTCATAGGGCATCCAAGTAAATAGAGTAAGCTGCTGGATACATAAATATGGAATGCAGTACTGGTATTTGTTCTGGGATGTAATTTGAGAGTCAATAGCATAAAGATGTTCCTTACATTCATAGAAATGTGATATACTATATGGCAGTCAAGGTGAGGCTTAATGAAGGAAGAGGACCCAACAAAAGATAAATAGTAAAAGAGGTGAGAGGAAAACCAGTAAAGAATGGTATTCCAGAAGTATGGAGAAGATTTTCAAGAAGGAAGAATTGGTTCTAGGCAAATTATTTTTGAGAGTTTGAGTAAGGTTTGCTGTTGGAGGAAAAAAATGGTGATGTTTGCTTCTCTCCCCACCAAATTCAAATTTGAACTATTTATAAGGTATAGGCAAATGCATGAATCACAAATATGCAGTATGATGAATTTTCAAAAACTGAACTCACCCATATAATCAGCACACAGATTAAGAAACAGAGTATTGCCATCATCTGAGTGGCCTGCTTTGTACCTCTTTCTGGTGACTGTCCTACCCAAGGATGACCACAATCCTGATTCTAACACGACCAGTTTGCCTTTCCTGTTTTTGAACTTTATATAATTTTAATTATATACTACGTATTTTTGAGTACACCTTCTTTTGTGCAATATTATAATGTGAAATTTGTCCATGGTGTTACATAAATAGAATTTGTTCATTATCATTGTTAAATACATTTTCACTCCCTGAATATTATTGACTGAATGTTTATTTCCCTCCAAAATTCATAGGTAGAAGCCCTAACACCCAATGTATTGGTATTTGGAAGTGGGATCTTTGGGAGACAATTAGCTTTAGATGACATTCATGAGGGTAGGGCTCCCATGATGGGAGTAGTGTCCTTCTAGAAAGTGTGAGAGAGGCCACAGCTTTCTCTTCTTCTGCCATGTGAGGGCACAGTGAGAAGACAGCCATCTTCTCCAGACTTCTTCCTGGTGAGGAAGAGCACCCTCTTCAGGAATCAAATCTGATAGCATCATGGACCTCCCAGTCTCCAGAACTGTGGGAAATAAATGTTGTTTAAGCCATCCAGTCCATGCTATTTGTTATAGCAGCCCGAGCGGACTAATACAGTGAATATATCACAATTTTAGGTATGTTTTCTGAAGAGTAATTTCCAATGAGGTACTATTCTGCATACTGCTATTATGAATAACTTTGCATATTTATTTTAGGAAATATATATATACACAAACACTATTCTGTTAGTATATACATAGGAATGGAATTGTGGGTCATAGAGTAGATATATGTTTAGCATTAGCAAATATTTAGAAACAATCTAAATCTATTTGTACCAATTTATATGCCCAAGTCAATATGTGAGAGTACCACACGTTCAAATACTAGCCAACCCTTGGCTAGTCTTTTCCATTTTGACATTATAGTGGGTGTGTATTGGTATATAATTTTAATTTTATTATACATTTTGATGATTACTAATAATGTTGAGATATCTTTTATCTACTTAGTATTTGGATATATATATGGGTTGCTGTTTTGGTTTCAATGTTGCTGACTTTAATACTGTTAATCAGTACACATTGGAGAGTGAATCAGCAATGTAGATGACTATTTCACATACTCAGTGGGTCTTTCTGGAGTTGTGCTTCCATTGGTTTATTCATTGTATTCTAAGGATTCCCTTGAATTTGTGCATACAGTGTCAACATTCATCCGAGAAGTATGGAAAATATATAGAATATAATTTTATTGAAAAAAATGTATTAAAACAATTAACGAAAACAAGAACCTGAGTTAAAACTCTTTAATTGAAGCTTTTGAAATAATATTTTCCTAAATATCATCTAATTACATCTAACACATAGAAGTAAATTATATTTAAAAAGAAGTTTGAAGAGTTAAGCCCCAAAAATCATTCTTAAAAGTTTGAATCACTGGCATGTAACCTAAATTTCCAAAATGTCAGAAAAATAGATACAGAATAATTTAGGTATAATTATGGTATACCTAAATAAGTATGAAATATCTAAATATATTTAGGTATACCATAATTATACCTTAATTATGCTGTATTTATTATAATTATGTTAGATAATATTTTAATTATGGTAGATAATATTTTGGATTGAGTGAATATGCAGGTTATCACTTTCTATATATCAATGGAAATTTTTTAAATTACAACCTATGAAGGCCTCACAATGAAAATTTTCTAGATTAAATCCATTAGTTCAAGTTTTTCTAATTGTACTGTAAATGAAATATCTTCTCCATTATCAATCTCGCTTTATTTATTTTTAACACTTATTTTAGGTTCAGTGGTACATGTGCAGAGTGTTATATAGGTAAACCCAAGCCATGGGGTTTTGTTGTACAGATTATTTTGTCATCCAGGTATTAAGCCTAATATCTATTAGTTATTTTTCCTGATTCTCTCCATCCTTCCACCCTCCACCTTCAAGTAGGCCACAGTGTCTGTTCTCTCTATGTCCATGTCTTCTCATCATTTGGCTCCCACTTATAAAATGAGAACATACGGTTTTTGGTTTTCTGTTGCTGTGTTAGTTTGCCAAGGATAATGGCCTCCAGCTCCATCTATGTTCCTTCAAAGGACATGATCTCATTCTTGTTTGTAGCTGCATAGTATTCCATGATGTATATGTAGATTTTCTTTATTCAGTATACCATTTATGGGCATTCAGTTTGATTCCATGTCTTTGCTATTGTATCTAGTGCTGCAATGAACATACGCATACATGTGTCTTTATGATAGAACAATTTATATTCATTTCGGTATAAACGCAGTTATGGGATTGCTAGATCAAATAGTAGTTCTGTTTTTAGATCTTTGAGGAATCGCCACCCTGCTTTCCACAATGGGTGAACTAATTTACACTCCCACCAACAACATATTAGCATTATTTTTCTCCACAACCCCACCAGCACCTGCTATTTTTTGACTTTCAATAATAGCCACAGTGAGATGGTATCTCATTGTGTTTTTGATTTGCATTTTTCTAATGATCAGTGATACTGAGTTTTTCTTTCGTATGTTTTGGTCACATGTATGTCTTCTTTTGAAAAGTATTCATGTATTTTGCCTATTTTTGGATGGGGTTGTTTGTTTTTATTCTTGTAGCTTTGTTTAAGTTCTGTGTAGATGCTGGACATTAGACCTTTGTCAGATGCATAGTTTGAAAAAATTTTCTTCCATTCTTTAGGTTGTCTGTTTATTCTGTTGATAGTTCTTTTACTGTGCAGCAGCTCTTTAGTTTAATTAGATCCAATTTGTCAATTTTTGCTTTTGTTGCAATTGCTTTTGGTGTGTTTCTCATGAAATCTGGGTGTGACAGCTGTCACCCCACAGATCACCAGTTGACCCCACTGATCACCGTTGATTCGGCTCATCTGGCTAGATGGGTGTCTCCTTCCTTCCTCACCACTCCATGTGTGTCCCTACTGAACCTGCGTGTTTGGTTGAAGAGAACAGCCATCCTTGATAGAGGAGGACCAGTCTTCAATAAAGGATATACGAGTGGCTGTGCTTGCCTGCTACAACCTCCAAACATGCTATTAGTCTTGTGAATAAAGGGATGAGCCATATAACTAGACGCTGAGAAAGACCAGAACAGTGCTGGTTTAGAAACGGAGGACCACTGCATTCTTAGTTCATGTTTGGAAAGTGCTTTCAAAAAATTTCAAGTACTTGGATGATCTTTAGATGCCATTGCTTTGAAATAATCTTTATTTTATAGCACAAATAAAATATAACACCCCCATTGAATATCTATGTCCCGTTATCTCTGATAGATTTCCATAGGTATAAACCTTTAATCTGAAGGTCACACAAGGCTTGGGAAAATACCATCATCAAGGGTCAGGTGAGTATATTGTATATTTTTAATTGCATAGTTCGAGTCACAGATGCAGATGTACAAAATTTGGTCAGATAATTTTCTGAAGATTTTCTAAATCTTGAATTTTCTCAAGATTGGACAGGACTTTGGGTTAATTAATAATTTATCAGAATAGCACATTGCACATAATTTACCCAGGCTTATATATTCTCTAAAATATATAAAATTAATTCAAAATAAAATGTTTTAGTCAAATACAACTTTACTTTCCACCATAATTTTACAATGAAATGTTATTATATTTTAACTTAAGAGCTTGGGCTCAGCTTCAGTAGGCCTGTTATGGCATTGTTTAACTCCCCCACAGCCTTAAATACTACAGGAATAAGTAGGAATTTTCAAGGGTTTTAACTGTTCTTTCTTTCTTTCTTTTTTTTTTTTTTTTTGAGATCGAGTCTCACTCTGTTGCCCAGGCTGGAGTGCAGTGGCACCATCTGGGCTCACTGCAACCTCCACCTTCTGGGTTCAAGTGATTCTCCTGCTTCAGCCTTCCAAGTAGCTGGGATTACAGGCACTCACCACCATGCCCAGCTAATTTTTGTATTTTTAGTAGAGCTAGGGTTTCAACAAGTTGGCTAGACTGGTCGAACTCCTGACCTAAGGGGACCTGCCCACCTCAGCCTCCCAAAGTGCTGGGCTTACAGGCATGAGCCACCACACCCAACCGGTTTTAGCTATTCTTTCATTCCCTGTACAAAACAACACAAAGACACATCCTGCCACTGACATATTCTGGCCTGGGCCAAATGTAGGATTATTGGGTTGTCTGAACAGTCTCAGCCTCCCAGGGCAGTAAAGTTTTCTTAAAAAAGAGAGCTTGTAGAATGGGTTTGCCCACAACTCACTGCAAAATCTCAGGCGATTTGGCAACTTTTTAAAGGTAAAATATGTTCTGATCCATTTTGTTACTTGCTCGGGGGCAGCAATGAAACACCAGAGGTGGTATCCTGTTATGACCCTTCTGCCTACAGTATTTTCAATATTAATATCTAATGGTGGGTATCTTATTTCATTTGAGACACCAAGGGTCAGATTCCTCTATTTACTTATGGACATATTAAGCAACAATAATGCAGGCAAGCATAATTTTAAAATAAAGAGTGATTTTATAAAAGTAATTTTGAATTTCTTTTTTTCTTTTTTTCCTAGATGACCATATTTTTTATTTTAAAAAATAGAAATAATACTTTTAAAATGGTGAACAATTCTTTTACATATATATATATTTTTATTATACTTTAAGTTCTAGGGTATGTATGTACAACATGCAGGTTTGTTACACATGTATACATGTGCCATGTTGGTGTGCTGCACCCATTAACTAGTCATTTACAGTAGGTATATCTCCTAATGCTATCCCTCCAACCTCCCCCCAACTCCACTTTTTATGTTCTTTTTTCTTCTTGCTATAGATCTAATTTATTTTCTGAGAAGGTCCATACAGAGATTTACTATCCCTTGCTTTAGGAACAGTTGTCATAGTTTATTAAACCCATTTATTTTCTACCAAAAGGAAGATATGTCTAATGGCATATAAAACCATTCAATGAGTACTTCATAATATGAGTGAAAGGTGAGAATTCTTTGTATTAATAAACAATACATCTTAGGAAAGCTTAAAAATATTAAAATAGATGAAAATAAGTGATGTATAGAAACATATTTTAGGTCAATAACAATCTAAATACTATATTTATTTATTAATTATGTACCAGTATACCCAGTTTCAGAATGGTTGTAAAGTTAATTTTTTTATATAGCAGCAGCAGCAACATTATTATTTTTTTAACTTTTAGGTTTAGGGGTACATGTACAGGATTGTTATATAAGTAAACTACCTGTCACTGGGGTTTAGTATACAGATTATTTAGTCACGTAGGTAATAAGCATAGTACCTGATAGGTTTATTATTATTTTTTTGATCCTCTCACTCCTCACGCCCTCCACCTACAACTAGGCTGCAATGTCTTTTGTTCCCCTCTTTGTGTTCTCATTGTTTAGCTCCCACCTATAAATGAGAACATACAGTATATGGTTTTCTGTTCCTGTGTTGGTTTTCTCAGGATAATGGTCTCCAGCTTCATCCATGTTGCTGCAAAGGACATGGTCTCTTTCTTTCTAATGGCTGTGTAGTATTACATGGTGTATATGCATCATATTTTTTAATGCAGTCTACCGTTCATGGGCATTCAGGTTGATTTTTTGTCTTTGCTGTCTTGAATAGTGCTGTAATAAACATACATGTGCATGTGTCTTCATGACAGAACAAGTTATATTCTTTTGGGTATATACCCCAAAATGGGATTACTGGGTTGAATAAAAGTTCTGTTTTAAGTTCTTTGAGAAATTGCCACACTGCTTTCTACAATGGCTGAAATAACTTACTTTCCCACCACCAGTGTATAATAAGTGTTCCTTTTTCTCTGCAACCTCATTAGCATGTTTTTTTTTTCACTTTTTAATAACGGTCATTCTGACTGGTATGATATAATATGTCATTGTGGTTTTGATTTGCATTTCTCTGATGACTAGTGATGTTGAACATTTTTCATATGCTTGATGGCCACATGTATGTCTTCTTTTGAAAGATGTCTGTTCATGTCATTTGCCCACTTATTAATGGGTTTGTTTGTTTTTTGCTTGTACATTTATTTATTATAGATTCTGAATATTAGACCTTTGTCAGATGCATAGTTTGCAAATATTTTCTGCCATTCTGTAGGTTTTCTGTTTGTTGATAGTTTCTTTTGCTGTGCAGAAGCTCTTTAGTTTAATTAGGTAATAATTGCCAATTTTTCTTTTTGTTGCAGTTGCTTTTGACATCTTCATCATGAAATTTTTGCCAAGTTCTATGCCCAGAATGTTTTTTCCTAGGTTATCTTCCAGGGTTTTTTTTTTTTTTTATAGTTTTAGGTTTTACATTTAAGTCTTTAATTTCTCTTGAGTTGATTTTTGTATATGACGTAAGGAAGGGGTCCAATTTCAATCTTCTGCCTATGGCTAGCCAGTTATCCTAGCACAGTTTATTGAATAGGGAGTTCTTTCTCTATTACTAGTTTTTGTCAGCTTTTTCAAAGTTCAGGTGGTTGTAGGTGTGTAGCATTATTTCTGGACTCTGTTCTGATCCATTGGTTTATGTGTCTACTTTTCTACCAGTACCATGCTGTTTTGATTACCATAGCCTTGTAGTATAGTTTGTGATTCCTCTACCTTGGTCCTTTTTTCTTAGATTTGTGTTGCCTATTTGGACTCTTTTTTGGATCCATATGAATTGTATTTATTGTCCTAATTCTGTGAAGAATGTCACTGGTAGTTTAATAGGAAGAGCATTACATTTATAAATGGCTTTATGCAATATGGCCATTTTGATGATATTGATTCTTCCTGTCTATGAGCATGGAATGTTTTTCCACTATTTGTGTCATCTTTGATTTCTCTGAGCAGTGTTTTAAAATTCTCATTGTGGAGAGCTTTCCTTTTCCTGGTTAGCTATATTCCTAGGCATTTTATTCTTTTTGTGGCAATTGTGAATGGGATTATTTTCCAGATTTGGCTCTAAACTTAGATGTTCTTGGTTTATAGGAGTGGAACTGACTTTTGCACGTCGATTTTGTATCCCAAAACTTTGCTAAAGTTGTTGGTAATTTCAGGGAGCTTTTCTGCAGAGACTATGGGGTTTCTGTGTGTAGAATCATAACATCTACAAACAGGGATGTATATAGCACTAAACGCCCACATTAAAAAGTTAGAAAGGTCTCCAATTAACAATTTAACATCACATCTAGAGGTAATAGAGAAATAAGGGCAAACCAACTCTAAAGCTAGCAGAAGACAAGAAATAACCAAAATCAGAGCTAAACTGAAGGAAATTGAGATGAGAAGAGCTATACAAATAATCAACAAATCTAGGAGTTTGTTAATTGAAAACATTAATAAGATAGAGTGCTAGCTAGAGTAATAAGGGAAAAAAAAGAGGCATGTTCCAAATAAACACAATCAGAAATGACAAAGGGGATATTACCACCGACCCCAAATAAATACAAAAATTTCTCAGAGACTACTATAAACAAGTTTTTGAACACAAACTAGAAAAGCTAGAAAAAAATGAATAAATTCCTGGACACATACAACCTCCTAAACTGAACCAGAAAGCAATCGAATGTCTTAACCAACCAGTAATGAGTTCCAAAATTGAATCAATAAAACAGCCTACTCACCAAAGAAAGCCAGCACTAGAGGAATTCACAGCTTAATTCTACCTAGAGATGTATAAAAAAAAGCTGGTACCAATCCTACTGAAACTATTACAAAAAATTGAGGAGGAAGGACTCCTCCATAACTCATTCTGTGTGGCCAACATTATCCTGATACCAAAACCTGGCAGAGATGCAACATAAAAGAAAATTTAAGACCAGTATTCTTGATGAATTAAAAATCATCAACAAGGTACTATAAAACCGAATCCAGCAGCACATTAGAAAGCTAATGCATCATGATCAAGTAGACTTCATTCCTGGGACATAAGGTTGGTTCAACATTTGCCAATCAATAAATGTCATTCATCACATCAACAGAACTAAAAAAAAAACCAGATTATTTCAGTAGGTGCAAGAATGGCTTTTGATAAAATTTTACATCCCTGCATGTTAAAAACCCTCAATATACTAGGCAATAAAGAAACTTACTTCTAAATAATAAGAGCCATCTATGACAAACCCACAACCAGGATCATACTGAATGGGTAAAAGCTGGAAGCATTTCCCTGAAAACTGGAAGAGGACAAGGATGCTCTCTCTCTCACCACTCCTATTCAACATAGTGTTGTAAGTCCTGGCTAGAGAAATTAGGCAAGAGAAAGAAATTACAGGCATCCAGCTAGGAAGAAAGAAAGCCAAACTACATTATTTTAAATCCTATCAATTTCAATTTTGAAATTTTTGCTACAAAAATGTTATCACTAGACCGTCATTAAAATAAAAAATTTACCACTTGCATAAAAAATACATTATTTTCACTTTTAATAGTCTTCTATGTTTAATATATTCTCTTAAATGCAATTTTTGACTTTTAACATCACAAACTCAAATGATCCAAGGTACAATGAAAATGGTAATACCATTATATCATTAAGTAATCTACAAAATGAGAAATAAAAATGAGGCTCTAATTCGTACAATTCCACTTACATGTTCAGAAATTGTATTCTGCTTCAAATTTTGCCCTTCTTATACAGGTTAGAAGATGATAAAGGATTCTAAATTCTTATTATTTATTGGCTATGATCTGCACTGATAATAGTAATTTAACCAGGGCTGCGATTTTGGGGAGCAATGTTCTATAGGGATATTAAATCTGTTTTTAATTATTGGCTTTTTATTAGGCAATTTTATTAACAGATTCAGTAAAAAATGTCCACCGCAGCTCAATAACCGAATGATCTTCTAATTAATCTATTAGTGCCTTTTAAGTATTCTTACTGTTCAGGCGTATGTCATGTTGAACAGTAAAATAGAACTTGAAATGTTAATATTAGCAGGACTAGTTCTATCCCCAAATCTCTGCTGCCTTCAAACTTCTGTTGAAGGAGCTCTATTGAAATTAGCAAGCTCCTCTGTGTCATACTTTCAGTATTTTATTAGGAGTGTGACTAAAGTTGAGAGGCAAGAGATACTGCAGAAAATTTGTGAAGCTCTCTGTTCAGCCTTCTCCTGAATAGGTAGAGGAACTGGTATGTACAAGGTGTAATGTGTGGTGTTTCTCTCTCTTTGGTCCAAGCAGTGACTGCTGAATGTCCAACCAGGTAAGAGCGTAATGATAAAAATGAAGTTGGGGTTGGGGAAAAAGTCCTGGGTCTATTTTAGGGTGGCAAGTTGCTACTACATATCAAGGCAAACTGTAGCACCCAGGATGCATAAGCAATGAAAACTACAAGTGTTCATCTCTCAGCCAGTTGTATGAAAATTCTACATTCCTGTCGGTTATTATCACTTTAACCTTTCAAAATTCAAATTTTTCTCTCTAATAGATATGTAGATTTATAGGCTCTGCTTCTATTCCTCTTTGCTGTATTATCTTCCACTGGATGTCAGTTAAACTTTCACAATTTTAGAGTTATATGATCTGTCTCCTTTCTATACATCACTTTACAAAATGTCAGAGCCCAGGAGGAATTTGAGTCTGAGACTCCTGGTAGGAAGTGGCACTCTCAGGGAGCCATGCCATTTTCTTTATGGCTACCATTACTATCTATGTATTGATGACTTTTTCTTTCCTTTTCTTTACTCCCAATTCCAACTTACCTCTACAGCTTCAGAACTCAATAGTTCATGGTCTGTTTCATATTTTTATATGAAGCACCCCCATATACTTCAAATTCACATGCCCCAAACAGAACCCATTATAGCCTACTTGCTCTTATATTTATTACTTCGCTCATGCTTCTTCCTCACTTACATCCTTACCATTGAAAAAGTAAATTTAAAAATGTATTGCATGATTTTCTTCTTTTTTCTTTTTGTGTCTGTCTTCAATGTCATAAATGTTCATCTACAATGTAGATTCAGCCACAAACCTGGATGTCATCTGTTACTCCATACTATATATTTTCAACTACAACTATCAGTCTAATATTATCTTCTCATCCGGACTGCTTGAGACATGTAGTATGCTTCTAGTCTTGCCCTTTTGTTAGCCAGAGTGAGCCCACTGATCTAACAACAGAAACCCCTTCTCTTGCTCCCCACTGCCACTAGGGTCAGTGCTAACTCCATTGCATAAGACAGTCCTCTTCAAGATCTCACTTCACCAGTTCTCTGCAGTTTCTCTCTGGTCGGTGTTCTAGCGCACTGCAATCCTGATAAGCTGTATCCACATCAGATTCCTATTCCTTCGGCTCTTTGCACTTGCAACCTTCTCAACTTGAATCACTGCCCCACCCTTCACTCACCTCTGCACTATATTAATTGTCCTTCAAGATATCCATTATATGCCATTCCCCTTACAAAGCATTCCTTGACCTTTAGGGCTGTGTGAGGTATTTTGTCCAGTGGTATCCTCCATTAACGTCTTTATCACATATGACAACTATGTGACATGGAGTAAGATTCAATAATTTCATTCTTATTTATCTAGCTTGCTTTTTTAGGGCTAACTTTCTTCAGGGCTCTCTACTGGGCTTAGAAGGTGTTAATAGTTTTTATTTATAAGATTGAATTAATGATGAGCAATATAATAAATAAATATGTTGTAATATAAATGGTTGATAATCACTTTACAGATGATCAACCTCATTCCAATAACATTAAAAGAAATATAAACAGGAGAACTGTCCACTGTCATGGAAAAGGGACTGAAGCCAGAGAGCCAAACATCCTCACTCAGAGGGTCCCACGCCCACAGAACCCCACAAGCTGAGACCCACTGGGTTGAAATCCCTGCTGGCCAGCACAGCAGCCTGGAGTCTGCCTAAGACTACCGAGTTCATGGTGGGAGGGGTGACCGCCACTACTGTGGCTCTAGTAGGCAGTTCTCTCCAGCTAGTGCTACGGAGACTGGGATGTTTGGACTGGGTGGTACTCCCCACAGCGTAGCACAGCAGCTGTGGCAGATCACGGCCAGACTGCTTCTTTAGGTGGGACCCAGATTCATCCCTTCTCACTGGGCAGGGCCTCACACATGAATTCCAGCAATTCCAGCCAGGCCTTTACAGACAGAATTGTCCTCTGCCAGGGACAGAGCACGTGGCAGGAGGAGCGGCCAAGGTGTCAAGTTCAGTGGGCTTAATCTTTCCCGTCTGCTGGCCGATCTAGAGGAGGGGGACTCCCCCAGCACAGCACAACGGCTCTGCTAAAAGATATACAAACTACTTCCTTAAGTGGGTCCCTCATCCTGTGCCTCCTGACTGGGTGAGACCTCCCAACAGGGGTCACCAGACACCTCATACAGGAGAGTTATGGCTGGCATCAGGTCGGTGCCCCTCTGGGATGAAGCTTCCAGAGGTAGGAGCAGGCAGCAATCTTTGATGTTCTACAGCCTCCACTGGTGATATCCAGGTGAACAGGATCTGGAGTAGACCCCCAGCACACTGCAGCAGACCTGCAGAGGAGGACCGTGACTGTTAGAAGAAAAACAAACAGAAAGCAACAACAGCAGCAGCATCAACAAAAACCCCATACAAACCCTATCCGAAGATTGACAGCCTCCAAGATTAAAGATAGATAAATCCATGAAAATAAGGAAAAACCAAGCAAAAATGCTGAAAATTTCAAAAGCCAGAAATGCCTCTTCTTCTCCAAACACTTCTCCAGCAAGGCCACAGAACGGGGATGAAGTTGAGATGGGTGAACTGACAGAAGTAGGCTTCGGAAAGTGGATAATAATAAACTTCGCTGAACTAAAGGATTATGTTCTAACCCAATGCAAAGAAACTAAGAACCATGATAAAAGATTACAGGAATCTGTTAACTAGAATAACCAGTTTAGAGAGGAACATAAATGACCTGATGGAGCTGAAGAACATAGCACGAGAACTCTGTGATGCAAACACAGGTATCAATAGCTGAATTGACCAGGCAGAAGAGAGACTATCACAGCTTGAAGGCCATCTTGCTGAAATAAGGCAGGAAGAAAAGATTATAGAAAAAATAAAGAAAAGGAATAATAATAGAAAACAAACCTCTGAGAACTATGGGACTATGTAAAAAGACCAAACCTGCAACTCACTGAAGTACCTGAAAGAGACAGGGAGAATGGAAGCAAGTTGGAAAAGACACTTAAGGATACTATCCAGGAGAATTTATTTAACCTAGCAAGACAGGCCAACATTAAAATTCAGAAAATCCAGAGAAACCCAGTAAGATATTCCACGAGAAGATCTACTGCAAGACACATAACCTTCACATTCTCCAAGGTCAAAATACAGGAAAAAATGTTAAGGGCAGTCAGAGAGAAAGGCCAGGTAACCTAAAAAGGGAAACCCATCAGACTAACAGTGGACTTCTGAGTGGAAAGCCTACAAGTCAGAAGAGATTGGGAGCCAATATTCAATATCCTTGAAGAAAATAGCTCCCAATCCAGAATTTCATATCCAGCCAAACTAAGCTTCGTAAGTGAAGGACAAATAAAATCCTTTTCAGGCAAGCAAATGCTGAGGGACTTCATCACCACCAGGCCTGCCATGCAAGAGCTTCTGAAGAAAGCACTAAGCATGAAAAGGAGAAAGTGTTACCAGCCACTACAGAAACACACTGAAGTACACAGACCAACAACACTATGAAGCAATTACATTAACAAGTCTGAAAATTAACCAGCCAACATTATGATGACAGGATCAAATTCAAAGGTAACAATATTAACTTTAAATGTAAATGGGCTAAATGCCCCAATTAAAATACAAAGAACGGCAAGCTGGATAAAAAGGCGAGACCCATCAGCATGTTGTATTCAAGAGACACATCTCATGTGCAGAGATACATATAGGCTCAAAATAAAAAGATGGAGGGAGATTTACCAAACAAATAGAAAGAAGAAAAAAACAGGAGTTGCAATCCTAGTTTCTGACAAAATAGACTTTAAACCAACAAAGATCAAAAAAAGACAAAGAAAGACATTACATAATGGCGTAAGGTTTAATTCAACAAGAAAAGCTAACTATCCTAAATATATATGCACCCAATACAGGAGCACTCAGATTCATAAAACAAATCCTTGAAGACCTACAAAAAGATTTAGACCCCCACACGATAATAGTGGGAGAATGTAATGCCCTACTGTCAGTATGAGATCATTGAAACAGAAAATTAACAAAGATAATCAGGACTCGAACTCAGCTCTGGACCAAGTGGACCTAATAGATATCTACAGAACTCTCCACCCCAAAACAACAGAATATATATTTTTATGAACTCCACATAGCACTTACTGTGAAATTGATCACATAATTGGAAGTAAAACACTCCTCACCAAATGCAAAACAACTGAAATCATAAGAAACAGTCCATCAGACCACAGCACAATCAAATTAAAACTCAATATTAAGAAACCAACTCAAAACCACACAACTACATAGAAATTGAACAACCTGCTCCTGAATGACTACCAGGTAAATAATGAAATTAAGGCAGAAATCAAGGAGTTATTTGAGACCAATGAGAACAAAGAGACATGGACCAGAATCTCTGGGAAGCAGCTAAAGCAGTGTTAAGAGGGAAATTTATGGCTGGGTGCGGTGGCTCACCCCTGTAATCCCAGCACTTTGGGAGGCTGAGGCAGGCGGATCACAAGGTCAGGAGATCGAGACCATCCTGGCTAACATGGTGAAACCCCATCTCTACTAAAAATACAAAAAATTACAGGCACCTGTAATCCCAGCTACTCAGGAGGCTGAGGCAGGAGAATGGTGTGAACCTGGGAGGCGGAGCTTGCAGTGAGCTGAGATTGCACCACTGCACTCCAGCCTGGGTGACAGAGTGAGACTCCATCTCAGAAAAAAAAAAAAAAAGAAAAATTTATAGCACTAAATGACCACATCAAAAAGCCTGAAAGATCTCAGATCAACCACCTTAATATCACAACTAAAATAACTAGAGAACCAAGAGCAAAGAAATCCCACAGCTAGGAGAAGACAAGAAATAACCAAGCTCAGAGTGGAACTGAAGGAGACAGAGACTCAAAAAACCCTTCAAAAATTAACAAATACCGGAACTGGTTTTTTGAAAAAATCAATAAAATAGACCACAAGTGAGAGTAATAAAGAAGAAAAGAGAGAAGATTCAAATATACGATGAGAAACGATAAGGGAGATACCACCAATGACCCCACAGAAACACAATCAGCCATCAGAGAATACTATAAACACCTTTATGCAAATAAACTGGGAAACATAGAAGAAATGGATAAATTTCTGGACACATATACCCTCCCAAGACTGAAGCACAAAGAAGTTGAATCCCCAAATAGACCAATAACAAGTTCTGAAATTCAGGTGCTAATAAAGAGCTTGCCAATCAAAAAAAGCCCAGGCCCAGATGGATTTACAGCTGAATTTTACGAGAGGTACAAAGAGGAGCTGGTACCATTTCTTCTGAAACTATTTCAAACAATTGAACAGGAGAGACTACTCCCTAACTCATTTTATGAGGCCAGCATCATCTTGACATCAAAACCTAGCAGAGATGCAACAAAAAAAGATAACTTCAGGCCGACATCCCTGATGAACATTTATGCAAAAATCCTCAATAAAATAGGACAAACTGAATCCAGTAGCACATCAAAAAGCTTATTTAGCACAATCAAGTCAGTGTCATCCCCAGAATGCAAGGCTGGTTCAACATACGCAAATCAGTAAGCATAATTCCTCACATAAACAGAACTAAAGACGAAAACCATATGAATATCTCAATAGACGCAGGAAAGGCCTTGGATAAAATTTAACATCCTTTCATGTTAAAAAAAAAAAACTCTCAATAAACTAGGTATTGAAAGAACATACCTCAAAACAAGAGCCATTTATGACAAATCCAGATCCAATATCATAATGAAAGGGCAACAGCTGGAAGCATTCCCTTTGAAAACTGGCACAAGACAAGGATGCCCTCTCTCACCACTGTTATTCAACATAGTATTGGAAGTTCTGGCCGGGGCAATCAGGCAAGAGAAAGAAATAAAGGATATTTAAATAGGAAGAGAGGAAGTTAAATTGTCTTTGTTTGCAGATGACATGATCCTATATCTAGAAAACCCCATTGACTCAGCCCAAAAGCTTCTTTAGCTGATAAGCAACTTCAGTAAAGTCTCAGGATACACAATCAATGTGCAGAAATCACAAGCATTCCTATACACCAACAACAGGCAAGCAGAGAGCCAAATCATGAATGAACTCCCATTCATAATTGCCACAAAAAGAATAAAATACCTGGGAATACAACTAACAAGGGAAATGAAGGACCTCTTCAAAGAGAACTGCAAACTGCTACTCAAGGAAATCAGAGAGGACACAAGTAGATGGAGAAACATTACATACTCATTCATAGGAAGAATCAGTATCATGAAAATTGTCATATTGCCCAAAGCAATTAATAGATTAAATGCTATTCCCATTAAACTACAATTGACATTCTTCACAGTATTAGAAAAAAACTATTTAAAAATTTTTATGGAACCAAAAAAGAGCTCATAAAGCCAGGACAGTCCTAAGCAAAAAGAACAAAGCTGGAGGCACCATGTTACCCGACTTCAAACCGTACTACAAGGCTGCAGTAACCAGAACAGCATGGTATTGGTACAAAAACAGACACATAGACCAGTAGAATGGAATCGAGAACCCAGAAATAAGGCCACACACCTACAACGATCTGATCTTTGAAAAACCTGACAGAAACAAACAGTGAGGAGAGGATTCCCTATTCAATAAATGGTGCTGGGAGAACTGACAAGCCACATGCAGAAAATTGAAACTGGGTTTCTTCCTTATACCTTATACAAAAATTAACTCAACATGGATTAAAGACTTAAATGTAAAACCAAAGCCATTAAAACCCTAGAAGAAATTTTGGGCAATACCATTTAAGACATAGGCATGGGCAAAGATTTTATGATGAAATTGCCAAAAGCAATTGCAAAAAAAAGGAAAAATTGGCAAATGGGATCTAATTAAATGAAAGAGTTTTTGCATAGCAAAAGAAACTATCATCAGGGCAAACAGACAACCTACAGATTGGGAGAAAATTTTTTCAATCTATCTATCTGACAAGGTCTAATATCCAGAATCTACAAGGAACTTAAGCAAATTTACAAGAAAAAAACAAATAACATTATTAAAATGTGGGCAAAGGATAGGAACAGACACTTCTCAAGAAAAAAAAAAGACCATACATGCAGCTAACATGAAAAGAAGCTCAATATCACTGATCATTAGAGAAATGCAAATCAAAACTACAATGAGATATCATCTCACACCAGTCAGAATGGCGATTATTAAAAAGTCAAGAAACAACAGATGCTGGTGAGGTCGTGGAGAAATAGGAATGCTTTTCCACTGCTGGTGGCAATGTAAAATAGTTCGACCATTGTGGAAGACAATGTGGTGATTCCTCAAATATTTAGAACTGGAAATACCATTTGACCCAGCAATCCCATTAGTGGGTATATACGCAAAGGAATATAAATCATTCTATTACAAAGATACATGCACATGTATGTTCATTGCAGCACTATTTACAATAGCAAAGACATGGAATCAAATGCCTATCAATGATAGACTGGATAAAGAAAATGTGGTACATATACGTCATGGAATACTACGCAGCTATGAAAAGGAATGAAATCATATCTTTTGCAGGGACATGAATGAAGCTTGAAGCCATTATCCTCAGCAAACTAACTCAGGGACAGAAAACCACACACCTCATGTTCTCACTTCTAAGTGGGAGCTGAACAATGAGAACAAATGGACACAGGCAGGAGAACTACATACACTGGAACCTGCTGAGGGAGGGCAAGGCAGGGAGGGCATTAGGGAAAAGAGCTAATGCATGCTGGGCATAACACTTAGGTGATGGGTTGACAGGTGCAGCAAACCACCATGGCACACGTTTACCTGTATAAAAAACCTGCACATTCTGCACTTGCACCCTGGAACATAAAAAAATAAGTATAAACTTGCAAATTCTTTGATACCATTTTGAGATATCATTTACAATTAGAATATATTATAAATAAGGCTATTTCAGATGTCAGTGACCATGAGAAAATCAACATTTTTATGTCACTGGTATAAACATAGGTTGCTTTAATTTTCTGGGAGGAAATTTGGCACTGTGGATCAAGTACCTAAGCATCATCATGATAAGCTCATGCTAGAATTAACTATGTATTTCTACTACTAGAAATTGATTGTAATAATTTGATGAGTTATAGGTAAATTATGTGTCAAGATGCCAGTAAAATTTTATTAAAATGAAAATTATAGCAACCATCAAACAAAACAAAATAAATTATGTATGAAAACGCTATATTGTGGAACAATGCACAGCCAACATAATAATAATTAGGATCAGATTTCTAATGACATGTGAATGATTATGCAATGTACTAGGTAACAAATAAAATATTCAACTGTAACTATGTGAAGCTGTGTGTCCAGCAAAAGGAAGTAAATGCAGAAACTCTAAAAGATAATAATCTCCTATCAGTAGTATAATGAATGACTTTTGTCATCTCTTTTTTATGTCTTCTAAAATTTCTATGATGAACATTTATTCCACTTCCACGTAGAACACTATAATATAAGCCTTGCAATGTTCTGCGAATTTCTAAGCTTAAAAACCTCTTGTATGTCAGTTCATTTATTCATTCATTGATTTATGCATCAAATGTTGGCTAATCAGCAAGAAGTAAGACAAGGTACATAGTCTCTTCATTCTACAGCAGAAAGACAGAATATGAGGAAGTAAGCAAGTAAATACATATAAAAATAAAGTCAAGCAAACATATAAATAAATAATTGATAATTGTAATACATCCTCTGCAGTAAATGAGTAGGCCATAAATAGAGGGATATGATAGAAAGTAACTCATGGAGAAAAATGATAGGTGATAATTGATAATTAAAAGAAGTCAACCATGTAAAAGGCTGAGAAAGGGCATTCCAGTCAGAAGAAATAGCAAGTACAAAGACATTACGGTGAACATAGGCACAGTATGCTCCAGAAACAGAAAGAAAGCCAGGGCGACTGAAATCCAGGGGGCAGAGGAAGTGTGGAAAGGTAGGATGTGGAAAATCATCTATGCCATGGTAAGGAATTTGGATTCTAAGTGCAATAGAAAGCCCTTTAAGATCTACCTTGCATAATGCCTTCTTTGATTGTCATAAAGTTTCTTTTTTCCCAACATACAATTTCATGTATTTCTCATACTTCTGCTCAATGAAAGTAATTGCATTTATTGCTGACATTGTATTTTATCTTCTACTAAATACTTACATGTTTATAGTAACCATTCTACCAATTATATGTTGCATATTTATATAAATTTAAATTAGTACCAAGATCTGTGTCCGTGATTACCAATTATTATTTATTTGCTGCCCATCTCTCCTTTCTAAAACATTAGTTCTAGAAAAATAGATTCCTTCTGTTTAGCACCATTATACTCCCAGTGATTTCACTGTGCATTTCACAGAAGATACAATAAATATTTGTTTAATGCATGAATGTAATTATGTTTTTCATTAGATTGTAAAAAGTTTACAGCATACTGACAGCTGTATGTCACTAAAATAAACACTTTAAGTTCCTATTCTAACCTTCCTTTTGCCTTCTTCTTGTCATTTCTCCTTTCTTATAATGTAAGGCCAGGTATTCTAATTATACTCTTACCTGGCCATTCTTCTTACTTTTCTTTTCTCTAAATTACCATTTGTGTCCTTCTCTCTCACTTGACAATCTTGTGTATTTCCACAAGTCCAACTGCGAAAACCCTCCTCACCCTCACCTCTCATTAGGGTAGAGACAAGAATCCCAGATTGTATTTCTATCTAGCATAGATCAATCGACAGAAACATAGCCAGGGTACTACTTTGCTTGAGAAATCTCTACATGAATGTTCTCTTCATTGCTCCTAAAGTATATATCCCAAACCTAATTATTTTTTGTCCCTTGATTTGGTATTTCTATTAATAGCACCAATTCCATTAATCACTAAAATTCAAAACTACAAATTTACCTTTAATATGTCTTTGCTTCTTCCCTATGATCCTATTTCCTCTACTCCTGCCATCTTACCCACTCATTGCTCATGCACAAAGCCTCACCTCACATGAACCAACATCCATTCTTTTACCAATCAAACATATTTTCATGTCTGAAATATGCTTTTATGTACACACATCTCCTTCTCCTGAAGCTGCAGCTTATCAGCTATCAAATAAGAGATAGGAAGAGGAAATGGCCATATATAATATAGCTGCAATTGTCGCAGACTACACAGATGGACGGAAGAAGGCATAAAAGGACATGGGTTGTTTTAATGGATGGGTGATATCTGTGTTTCATCCCACTGTTGATGAATTTTGGCAGACACCAAGATCATGTAACATATTAAATTTAATATTTGTTCAGCATTATATCATGACTGAATTAGACTCCCATATGGAAAACATAATTTATGTTTAATTTTAATGAGATACATTACTAAGATGCTGAAAAAATATTCAAATTTTTTATCACATATTGAACAAGCAATATATCTACTTATGAAGAACACAGCTGACTTACATTCTTGCTGATGTTTGTCAAGAATAAAAATGATTATGCTATATAACCATTGTATAGAAGCCTTCTGTTGCCATAAATTCACTTGACATTTCACTTTACTGAGTGATGTGGGAATGACCCTTAGCAAGGCTATGCATACTTTGTGTGTTTAAACTTCATGCATACAGAATATTTGCAGATACACTAATAATTTAACATCTCAGTCGGACATTCTACTGTTTAAATTTAAGCAAAGGAAATAGTCTAGTTTTAAACAAAGCATCTTCTGAAGCAGTTGCAAAGGGTATTTCTAGAATTACAAAATTGTCAGATCCATTAGAACTGTTTCTGGTCTCTCAAATTTGCGTTGGCCCATGTACTTAATACTTTCTTTCTTGATTGCTCTCTCTTTCATTTATGCTCATTATACGAGGTAGTTTCCATGTCACGAAGGTAAGAAAATATGTGGAGAATTGTTAAAATTAGGCCAGAGTAAAAGAATCAACCTATGAAGACCCAACAGCAATATTGTAAAAGGTTATCATATTTTATTAAAGTGAATTTTTTTGCCTGTTTTAAAAATTATCTAAAGGTATAAGTATTCATAGTTGTAAGGAAATACATTGTATTACTCCTTAGCTTTCACACATCATTTCCAGAAATAGTTTCACCTTAAGACACCCTCACCTGACATTTAAAAGCTCAAAGTGCTCTGGTGTCTGCCAGATTCTATAACACTAATTTTGTCTGTGGTCTTTTTTTCCCCCTAGAAACTTCATAAGTATACATCAATCTGCCAGAAATGGTGATTATGTGAGCAGATTAAAGTAAGGGTATTTCTCCCCTGCAAGTTTAACATTAACATTCTCACTATAGACATCCTCTTGGCATTGAAAGAGAAATGAAAAAGGTGTGTGTGTAACATTATCTTTGTTCTGTAACATAAAACTAGCATTTGTATTTTCCATTAATTTAAAACACTTGTTCATACAATACATTAGAGTTAACAATTTTTCACTTTTGAGCTAGCAAAAGTTTTTAGCTGATTTCTTTTGAAATATAATTTATTTAGGTCAGATATTTTATTTTTACATTTTGTATTATATAAACACATTCTTTCCTTTTTATTACCTCAATATATCTCACCAAAATATTTTAATCAATACTTATACACATACCACAATCCAACATGATAGGTGTTAGGTGTTTCTATTTATTATTAGCATTTTTAAAATTTAACAGCTTTAGATTTTTTTCCTTTTCTTATTGTACATTCTATTGCAGGTATAAATCGTCCTATATGGATGAAATGTTAAGCAGAGGTAAAACACTAAAAAATCCTATTTGGCAACTTTGATGTACAAGCATTTGGCAGTTATGTTAAGTGGGAGTGAGTGATTTTTAAAAATGGTATGTATAAACCCAGGTGCATTTTTTACATAGACACAAATTGTCACTCCCTTATAGTTCTTAAACCAAGATAATTTTATGCTTTATTTTTAAACAATGTTGCGATGCATTATAGGATGTTATGACATTTAAAGAAATGGTTGCATCAGCTACTGAATATTTATCTTAATTAATCGATTATGCATCAGAAGTAAAACTTTTGTATAATGAGATTTTGAAACTTGTTCAAAGAAACTATATCTCTTTTACCTACCTCATTAGTTTGGTTAAAATAACGAATTCCCAAAACCCACAAATAACATGAGAAGTCAGTGCTAAGACATAAAAATAAAGCATCTATTTGCTGAATACTTATATATTTCATTAGTATGAAGATACTGAAATGTAAACAAATATGGGCCTCAGAAAACATAAATGAAGCTAGCTCTCAGTCAAACTTTTTATCTCGAGAAGATTTTCTTTACTTTTTCTTTCTCTGTTCTCAGCAAAAATAGATATGGTAGCAAAGAAAGTAGCAAATAAAACTGCAGCTAGCTGGGTGCAGTAGCTCACTCCTGTAATCCTAGCACTTTTGTAGGCAAAAGCGGGTAGATTGCTTGAGCTCAGGAGTTCAAGACCAACCTGGGCAACATCTTGGGTAGAGATGGGCGAAACTCCATCTCTACCCCCTCCCCACCCCCCCCCCCCAAAAATTAGCCAGGCATAGTGTCCATTCCTGCGGTCCCAGCTACTCAGGAGGCTGAGGTGGGAGGATTGCTTGAGCCTGGGAGGTGGAGATTGCAGTGAGCTTAGAGTGTACCACTGCACTTCACTTCACCCTGCATGACAGAATGTGACCCCATATCAAACGCAAAACAAAACAACAACAAAACTGTAGCTTTGCTAAAGAACAGATGTGGCTTTGGCAGAGAAACTTGCAAACACAGGATGTGAATATGTGGATAGATCTATAAAAGAGGAAAAAGCAGGAATCATTATATTTGATAAATTTAGTACAGAAACATTGCTTGGGATGTGTGGTGACCTAAATAAAAAATGCTAATTGAAGAGAAAATAATACTTTCTAAGCATTTTAAAAAATCAGTTAGTAGAGACCCGAGCCGTTCATTAAACATTAGTTAAAGAGCATGTTAATAGCACTTACAGGGTTAAATGGAACTGTTTTGAGACTTCTCCAATTATAAAACATCTTTTCTTATTTCAATATGTATTTAATGTTACTTTCATTTTTAATTTGTCTTATTAAATATTCCCTCAAGTACCTTGGAGAAGTTTATGTTCAAAATAAAACAATAAAAATTCTTATTTGGCAGCTTTGATGTACAAATATTTGACAATTATGCTAACAGAATGAATGATCTTTTAAAATTATGAAATTGATTTTAAAAACTTTCTGTCCTTTACAGTTTGGACATTTATATGTTAAATATGCATCCTTCTATTAAATATGAGAATTGTGAAATTGATAATATTTGTACTATTTTGTTTGTTTTTAAAGCCAAAAACCTCAGATCGATATTAAGTGTCTTATGAAATTATAATAGCTCTCATGATCTCCAAGCTTATTCTCCGTTTTTGTCACTTTACTTTTCTATTTTAATAGTTTTCTTAAACAACATTAATTTTGAATATAAAGGCCTAATTAAGTAAATAAAACATAATGATTTCAAAATTACATTAGTGATTTGCACAAAATTAGCAAAAATACATATAGAATTTAATATGAAAAACTTAGAACTGCACAAGTTCATAATAAAACATTATTTTTAGTGTAATATCTTTTTAAAAAATTCCAAAATTTTAGGTTTGGGGTTACACATGGAGGTTAGTAACATGGGTAAATTTTGTATCTTGGGGGTTTGGTGTACAGATTCATCACTCAGGTAGTGAGCATAGTACATACTAGGTAGATTCAATCTTCACCCTCCTCCTACCCTCCATCCTTTGGACAGAGACTGTGTGGTTCTCTAGGTACAGAATCATATCATCTGGGAAGAGAGATAGTTTGACCTCCTTTCTTCCTATTTGGATGCCTTTTATTTTATTTTATTTTATTTTTATTTTTTCTTACCCGATAGCTCAGACTAGGCCTTTCAGTATTATGTTGAATGAATCTGGTACGAATAGGCATCCTTGCTTGTTCCAGTTCTCAAGGGGAATGCTTCCAGGATGTGTCCATTCAGTATGATATTAGCTATGGATTTGTCATAGATGGCCCTTATTATTTTGATGTAGGTTCCTTCAATTCCTAGTTTGTGGAGGGTTTTTAACATGAAGAAATGTTAAATTTTATCAAAAGCATTTTCTATGTCTGTTGAGATGATTATTTTGTTTTTGTTTTTAGTTTTGTTTATGGGATGAATCACATTTATTCATTTACATATATCAAACCAACCTTGAATCACAGGGCTCAAGCCTACTTGATCGTGGTGGATTAGCTTTTTGATGTGCTGCTTGATTCTATTTTCTAGTATTTTTTTTTTGAGGATGTTTGCAGCTATCTTCTTTAGGGATATTAGCCTGAAGTTTTGTTTTTCTGTTGTGTCTCTGACAGTGTTGGCATCAGAATGATGCTGGCCTCATAGAATGAATTAGGGAGGAGTCCATCCTTCTCAATTTTTTGGAATAATTTACTTAGGATTAGTACTAGCTCTTTCTTATACAACTGGTAGATTTTGGCTGTGAATGTCTGGTCCAGGATGTTTACTGGTTGGTAGTTTTTTTTATGATTAATTCAGTTTTGGATCTTGTTATTTGTCCATTCAAGGTTTCAGTTTTTTTATTGGTTCAACCTTGGGAAGTTATGTATTTTCAGGAATTTACCCATTTCTTCTTGGATTTCTAGTTTGTGTGCATTGAAATGTTTGTAATAGTCTGTGAGGTTTGATTTTTTTTTCATTTATTTCTTTGAGGTCAATGGTAATGTAGTAATGATAATCTCTTCTTTGTCATTTCTCATTTTGTTTATTTGGATCTTCTTTGTATTTTTATTAGTTTAGCTAGTGGTCTATCAATCTTATTCATTCAAAGAACGAACTTTGGATTTCATTGATCTTTTGTATGTTTTCTTATTTCACCATTTTATTCACTCAAGCTCTCATTTTGGCTATTTCTTGACTTCTGTCTTTGGTGGTTTTTTTCTCTAGTTCCTCTTGGGATGATGTTAGGGTGTTAATTTGAGATCTTTATAAATTTTTAATGTGGGTATTTAGCACTATATACTTCTAACACTGCTTTCCTGTGTCGCAGAGTTTCTAGTATGTTGTATCTTTTTTCTCATTAGTTTTAAATAATGTCTTGATTTCTTCCTTAATTGGATTGTTTACCCAATAGTCATCCAGGAGCAGTTTGTTTATCTTCCATGTAATTGAATGGTTTTGAGAAACCCGCTTGGCATTGATTTCCATTTTTATTGTGCTGTGGTCCAAATGTGTAGTTGGTATGATTTCGATTTCTTTGAATTTGTTGAGAATTGCTTTACGTGGCCAATTTTAGAGTATTTGCCATGTACCTATGAGAAGAATGTATATTCTTTCGTTGTTTGGTGCAGTGTTCTATAGATGTCCTTTATATTCTTCAATTTCCTGGAGTGTCTGACTGTGCTATAATTGGGTTCCGTTGACTGGCTTTGCTTCTCGATGATTTCAAGGGGTGAAGGCTCAGTTCAGCACTCCTGGGCAGCACATGCTAACCCTGGCAGGCTGGGACCAGGCCCACACCTTTGTTCTCTGGCTTCTTGAGGGTAAGCACCTGTTGCACTAGGGGGGCCTAGGTGTTCTCAGTCCCCTGGCAACAATACTTTGATGGTGTGTGCCAGAAAAGCACATCATCAGGGTTGTGGCAGTGGGGTTCATGATAGCATGCAGTGGAGTTGAGCTTGTGGTGGCGAGGTCTGTGTGTGCTTATGTGCCAGTAAAACTGTCGGTGCAGGCTGCAGGTGAGTGCATGCCGGCAAAGCAGCAGGGGGAATCTGCAGGCAGGTGCGCACCAATGGAGGGAGGCCTGACCACATAAGCTCTCTGATGGTGAGGAGGGGTCTGCTGGTGTAGGAGCTATGGTAGTAGCTGCTGGGGAGTGACCCAGTTGGGCATCTGAGGCTGCATTCCAAGTGAGTGTGACCAGAAAGAGCCCCTGGGAAAGACTGGCAGACCAGACTGGATGGTGCTCAGAACACACTGCCCCCATCCCATGGACAAGACAGCCCTGTTCTGTCCAGGTCTATCAGTCAACAAAGGCAAAAGCCCCTAAAGGAGCATGTTGAGCCTTGGGGGATAAGCATCCCTGGGCATACTCTACTGCAGCCATTCTGACACCAAACCTCTGGCTTCTACACAGGCTAGAGTCCTGTCCCTGCTGACTCTCCTTGCAGCTCTCCCTGACAGCACAAGTGTTCGTGGGACTCGTAGGGCTTCCTGCAGCTTCGATTTCTGAGGCACCTAATGAGACTGAGCCATTCATGTCTATTTAACTCACCTCTTACTTAGGAGCACCTCAGGGCCAGGGACTAGTCCTGGTGCTCAGCAGCCCCATGTTCCCAGCTTCTCTATCCTTCAATCCCTTCAGGGTCTGTGTCCCCACTCTGTCCACTCTCAACGCCTTTCTTCCTAAGATCTGCTGGTAATGTGTCAGTCTACTTTATCTTCTGATCTCTCAGTGAGAGTTCCTTCTGGTTGTGTCTACTTGGCCATATTGGCTATTTCTGTAATCATATCTTATCCGATGACATTAAGGCAGAAATCTTTAACAAGCAAACAAAAAAACAAAGAAACAGAGCTATACAGCTGTAAAACACTCTACATAGAAAACAATTTAATTCACTTATGTATCTTAGAAATGTAATTTAAAAATATATAAATATATTTTAAAATATACATGTAAAATATATATATTTTAAAATATGTAATATATATGTATGTGTGTATATATGTAAATATATTTTATAAAATTACATATATAAAATATACTGTAAATATTAAATATATCATATATAAACATAAATCATTGAAATAAAATGGCAGATCAACAAATTGACTGAACCAAAAATCTTTGCAATATAGAAGATATTTTTTGTATATGACAATGGGATCCTAGAGACAAATGTTTCTTTCTCTCCTGGCTCCCTTCCTTCTTTCCTTTCTCCGTCCATTCCTTTGTTCCTTAAAATATATTGAGCACTTCTGCATGTCAAGAGGCAAGCTGTACATGGCTATATTAAGTTATGTGCACTACTGATTTTACCTTTTTGGTGAAAACCTTAAATATAACATTTTGGGGATTTAGTAAAACACCTCTAAAAATGTAGGAAAGTTAATCCCAAATGCCATTCCAGGCCCTTCCATTCAGAACACATTACCAATTTGTTTTTCAAACATAACACATTTTTTTTGTATTGATAGTTTACAGGATAAGACTTTTGAAAAGACCTGTTTTAGAGCTAAGAGGAGGGTGGGAATTACAAGCAGTGTTCTTTGAAAGTGATATCCTACAAACTGTTGTTCCATCTTCAAGTCAATAAAAGATAATACCTTAGAGATGACATTATAGTGACCACATATTTTCTTATTCTTATTTTTTCCCAAACCATCATATTTCATGAAATTATGAAATCATAATGAATATACATTTTATACAGCTTTATGTAACACTAATTTCTGGAGATTTAAATTTTACATATGAAATACATTATTTTTGCAGAATTATGATTGGCTAAATTACAATTTGTGTCTGATCTTTTTCATTTCAGGGACTTTTAAAAACTGGCCATCATTTATTCATTGTTTTGCCTAACCAAATTGAGAATTTGAATTAAGAATAAATTCTAGTCTCATCTATAGTCTAGGGAAAAATAGATATTTGGAATCATTCAAGGAAATAACATAAGAAGTGGGACTGTTTTACTAAATATCTTCAAATAGTAATTATTCTAAAGCAAAGGAAATTCTTGGTGCCATATTTCATAAGAGAAGTTATTTGTCCAGAAAAAGGATATTTCAAGAATGCAGCATCTCAGATCCATATCACATAAGGAAAATTATTGGAACTAAGTAAGACATAAGGAGGTTTTCCACTACTGTTTCATCAAACAGGTTTTCTGTGCCCTTTGCCGTCTCCTCTCCTCCTGGAACTCCCAGAATTTTCGTATTTGTTCAGTTGGTGGTGTCCTATATGTCACATAGGCTTTCTTAATTCCTTTGATTATTTTTTTAATCTGACTACGTTATTTCAAAACACCTGTCTTCAAGTTCAGAAATTGTTTCTTCTGATTAATATACTTTATTGTTGAAGCTTATTATATTTTCTATTTCATTCATTGAATTTTTAATTTCCAGTATGTCTTTTTTTAATGATATCTCTTTGTTGAATTTCTCATTCAGATCATGATTGTTTAAAATTTCTTTTTATCGCCTGTCTGTATTCTCTTGTATCTTTCTTAGTTTCTGTGAAATCGCTATTTTGAATTCCTTTCCAGGCATTTTATATATTTTATTTTCCTTGGATTTTGGCACTGGAGACCTTTTATTCCTTCAGAGGTGTCATGTTTTCTTGCTTTTCCATGTCTCTTTTGTATTTATGTTGGTATCTGCACATCCAGCATAACAGTTATTTCTTTCAATTTTATGGAGTAAATTTCATAGGAAATAATTTTTATTTTTTATTGTTTGAGACAGAGGCTTGCTCTTTCACCCAGGCTGGAGTGCAGTGGTGTGATCTCAGCTCGCTACAACCTCAGCCTCCTGGATTCAAGCAATTCTCGTGCCTCAGCCTCCCAAGTAGCTGAGATTACAAGCATGAGCAACCATGCCTGGCTAATTTTTGTATTTTTAATAGAGATCAGGTATCACTATGTTGGCCAGGCTGGTCTCGAACTCCTGGACTCAAATGATTCACCCACCTCGGCCTCCCAATGTGCTGGGATTACAGGTGTGAGCTACCACGCCCAACCAGAAACACTTTTTTTTTTCTGTAGATGTGTCTATAGTGTTAGTTAGATAGGGTACTTTGGTTTCGGTTGTGGGTGGGTGGTGTCATGTAGTCTACATATAATTTCTTGTTTATTCTATATTTTTGAAGACGATTTTTCTTCTTATAATCCTATTTGTCTTCATTAAAATTAAGATTAAATGTCAATATCCTCCAGTCAATTCTCAGTAACAATTCTTCTTACTGTGAGTTGCATCTAGTTTTAAATATTTAGAGTATCTTATTTTATTCTATTTATCTCTCCAAAATAGATCTTGAGCTCCTTTTTAGTAGGTAAAAGACATGTCAGCTCAAACGGCAAGTATTACTTACTCTTCCACAAATGATGGTAATAATATTTTATAGACCATAGAGATAGTTCTTCCTCCTCAACTGATTATCTATGTGACTTTGAGAAAGTTACTTAAACTTTCTGTTTCAGTCTATTCAACCTACAAGAAGGACAGTAATGTATTATGTAGCTCAAGAAGTGTCATATAGCTCACATGAAATAATAAATGTGAAAACCCTTTACAAAACAAGTGTAAGTATGTTGATTTTTTTTTTAGTGGTGGTAGATTTAGGTAGGCCATTTCTTTTCTATTCTCACATATAGTATTTAAACAGTTTAGGTACACAGTGTAAGTTTATTTTACATATAAACTTAATAGATCCATGTGCATATTAAATCTTAACTCATCATTACCCTGCTCTTATCAACCAAGCTAATTAAACCAGCAATTATTGTCAAAATGATAAATGGATTTATGTAATCTATATACTATTTGTATTATATTTAGCCAGTATTCCCTTCTCCAAAAGAGGATTGGAGAAGTATCACAAGGAATTCTGGGAAACGCAAAAGTGGGTAATATTAAAATTGTATAAAGGAAATATATAGGTATATAATTCGTTTATCCATTTGCAAAATGCTGTGAAAATAAATGGGGATAAATTATGTATTACACATATTTGGCCTTTGTTCATATTTTCATTTAAATTATTCTGAATACAAAAATTATGCATAATCCTTAAAAGTTTGATCTCCAAATTTTAACCTACCTTGCAATAAACAAAATACCATATATATATTAAGTCAAGCAAGACTAATTTGCTAAGGAGGAGAAAATAAAGGCTATAATCACAATAATATTTTATAGCAATTCAGAAGTTAGGGTTCTAAACACAAATAGTATTAAATCAACACCCAATCCTTGTTGATGAACATTTTCAGGGGAAAAATGATCTATAAATACTTTATTATTTTCTGTATTGCTTAATCTCCATGAAATGTCCATATTTATTTACAATGAGAGAACTTTAAAGAGAAAGAATACACTTTTTATTTTTTTTAAGCTGGGGTCTCATTCTGTCACCCAGACTAGGGTGCAGTGGCATGATCAAGACTCACTGCAGCTTTGACCTCCTGGACTCAATTGATCCTCCCACCTCAGCCTCCCAAGCAGCTGAGACTACAGGCACGTGCCACCACATCTAGCTAATTTTTGTACTTTTTGTAGGGATGGGTTTTCACCATGTTTCCCATGCTGGTCCTGAACTCCTGGGCTCAAGCAATCCATGTACTTTGGACTTCCAAGTGCTGGGATTAAAGGCATGAGTCGATGCATTAAGCACTATATTGAGGACAAAATAAAAAGAAGCATGATATTTTGTCATATGTGAGATACTATGTAAATATAATATTTTAAATATAAATTGACATTGTGCTTGCTTTCCAACCCTAAGACTTAAACTGTTTTGTTATTAATGCATCTTTCAGTATCTTTGAATAGGTCAGGACACAATTAAAACCAAAACAGAAAGTTTCTTTTTACTTTCATGTAAGTATGATGATTAAGGTGACATATAATTAGTGGGCTCTTTACTGAAAGAGAGATTGTTTATAAAAGCAAAGACAGCTGAAGCAACCTTTTTCTGCTATATTTACAATTCTAATGTTAATTATAATGGAATATCCAAATATAAAAAGTGGTGTCATTAAGAGAAAAGAAAGATTTCAGAAAATTAGTCTGAAAAGAATTCCAGAGGCAAAGCTCCATATATTTTAGTTTTATAATTTTATTTCTGAAATGTGCAGCTAAATTTACTTGTTTTCTAAAAGAAAGAAGCTTTCAGGAGCAATGGCATGATTTTGTAATGAAGGACAGACCACATCTATCACAAGAAATTATGAATAATATGTTTTTGAGAGAGCAGCTTACAACAGATTAGAACTTCTGCTGTCCTTTTCCCTACCAGGACAACAATTTTCCATGCTGAGCTGCTGATTGTGATTATTTATTAAAGGGACATTATAATATTTTATTTCTCCTCTGATATTTCCTAACATAGAAATATTTGTGGACTAACACTATAATTTACAGAATAAACTGTATTGATTAAAAACTACAGAGACCTATTGTGTCATTTATTTAATCACAGAAAGCCATGTTTTCATCCTTAAATAACATCATGGTGAAGCACTTCATTTTATATATTGTAGAAATTCAATGACAGATGCTAACGTATTTATATGTTAATTTTTAGGAGGAAATATTTTATGGAATGATTTATACAAGATAACACAGAATGGAATAACTTTCCAGCCATTCATGCCAATAAAAACAATAGTAGGGATTTAATAGTATTAAACATCATGCTTCATATTTTTGATTGGGTAATATAAATATTTTTATATTACATTTAAAAAGTATGTAGTCTTTTATGCGCCCTTTAAGGATTGTAAATATATTCATATTTGAGCATGTTCTCTTGTATCAAATACGTACTAAAAAGGGCCTTTTAAAATAAATGGTTCATCAGTGAGATAAGTGACTTTATTATAAACTGACTTTTGCTAATTTTAAAGGTTTTCATGTTGTTTTTCTTTCATCTTTTTGGCAACTGCTTTCTCCTCAGTTTTTTTACAGCTTTGATATTGATAAAATAAAAACTTTAGTTAGCACAGTTTATTTGAGCAAAAAAAAAATTCATGAATTGGGCAGCCCTCAGAACCAGAAGAGACTGAGACAACTCTATCTAATCAGCAAGGTGGGCAGGCAATATTTATAGACAGAAAAAGTAAGTGAGGTACAGAAACAGCTTGATTGGTTACAGCTCAGTGTTTGCCTTATTTGGGCATGGTATGGTAATGAATATGCCTTATGTGAAAATGATGTGATCTGTTGGCAGCTAAGCATTGTCTGAAACTCAGCTGCTATGATTGACTGAAACTCAGCTATTTGTTACAAGATTATACTCTTAAGTTAGCTTGCAGTTTTCATAATTAATTATGTTGTGGGTTGCTATGTAGGGATTCAAAGTACAGAAGCAGCTTTAAGCCAAATGTAATTTAATATAATTATATCTTTATTTGCTATGTAGCCATCTTTTTTTATTTCTACTCTTCTCTCCATTCATTCTGGAAAATGAATGGAGCACAAGATTATTAAAATAATGTAATGCTATGTATATATGACCAAATTTAATATAAAATTATGTTTTTTTAAATATTCACAACTTTCTACTTCTCAAACCCTTCTATCCTCAATTTTAAAGAACAGTAAAATCATTTGTATGAGAGAGTTTTAGAACTAGTAAGTTACACTTGACTTTTGAGACTCAGTTCATAATGAGTAATAAGGAAAATGGCAGAGAAATGCTGATCAGTTAGTTTCTCAATAATCATTAGAGGTATTGTCAGGATTTTATCTATGGTCTAAATTTCCAAATGTTTAACAAATAAGGATGAACATTTTAGCTACTCTTGAGACCAACGAATGCATTAACTTTAGCCTCATTAGATCCCAAGTTCATACCACTGCAGTGTGTGGGGTTACAAATCTTGTGTGTCATCAACAAGGCCTGAGGATGTCCACATGGGCAGGACAGGAAGAGCAGAAAAAGACTTCTGAAAAAAGAAGGAAAGAAGGCAAATGAGAAAAGGGGAAGATGAGAGACTTAAAAAATGCAAGGGGTTCCAAATTTTATTGAATAATATGAAAGAAATGTTTTCAAAGAAAAGAATCTTTATAAAAATTGCTAGTTTTTAGTTGATTGCATTTCTTTTGTGAAGAATAGAGGCTTATTATTTTAGAATACTAGATGTATAAAATCATAATTATGAAGGTTCACATATACCACAACTGTCATACGTTACAACACAGGAAGATTATTTTAAAGAAGCAAATCAACAAAACTGTTGGCAACAGCTTAGCAACTTCTAACAAAGTGAATTGCTAATTGTGACTTCTTGATCTCCTTAAATTTGGTTATAATTAAAAGTATATTCTTATTATTTACAAAATCCCACACTGCTTCTATCTATGGATGTCCCTCCTATAGGGTCACACATTTCTACAACTGGTCATAAAGTCTCAATTTTTTTTTAAGTAAATATTTGATCACACACACAAAAAAATGTATGAGAAAGTGAGGTTGTCTTTTACATAAGTAATAGTAAATATTACCTGGTGTCTTGCAGAATAAATTAAGATAATTTGGGATACACAACCTATATATCTATCTCCCTCACCTTAATAAAGGAGGCCAGGAGTATTGTATATTGCTATTCACTTAGATCTTTAGAGCTTATTATGATACCTGGTAAATAATTAGTGTTCAATAAAAATTTAATGAACAAATAAAAAAAAGATAATGACTCACAGGTTAAGTGAATAATTTTGAATGTCCATGTTTTAAATGTAACCTTATTAAAAACTTTGTTTGAAATGTAGTTCTTTTCCTTTGGTGACAATTTACATGTTAAATTTTAGGAAGTACAACAAAGTTTATACACTAAATATTATTTTAAATCACAAATGACTGTAATTTTTATTATATTTATTTGCCAGTGTTTGGGCTAGGTTCACAGCTCATTTGAAATCATATATTTACATTATTTGGTATGTCAGTCTTATAAAATGCCTGCTTAGGCTTTTTAACATATCAAATAACATATCATGTATTTTTTATCTAAGGAACATGCAAATCTTTGTTGAAGATTCTCATAGAAGTAAAATATATCACAAATGTTGACAACTATATTTTTGCTTAGTAGAGCAATAATAGTAATCCAAGACTTATGAACTACAAATAAATATATTACATATAAATAATTGTAGTTCATTTTGCCTTTTCCTTAAAATTGTGATTGAAGAAAATAATAATTAATTGCATTATTCAAGAATTTGTATCACATCTTTATTTTGAAGAATGGTGTAATAAGGTGAAATTTCAGAAAGTTGTAATAAATTCTCATGTTTTATTAATCTAAAATATGAAAAAGATAAAGATTTAGTAAGAATATTTTTGTTGTGAAAAAAATAGCAGTCGTATTCAATTCTATTTTAAAGTTAAGGATAGTGCTTTACCTTAAATTTAAGATGTTAGAGACCAATTTCCTTGTGGTTTGGGATTAACTTTTCTTCTCCTATATCCCTAAGCCTAGTCATGTAGAAGAAACATTAAATTCAGGATACCTCATAAGTAGATTGAAAGGATATTATTGAAAAATTGGTTTTGAAAGGTCTTAAGTAAGAAATTAATGTTTTCTTTCTTACTGAAGTATGAAACAAAGTAAGTGTGAGAGAGAAACAGAAATAAAAAATGAAGCTTATATTACAAGTATTAAAAGGATGGATATTTTTCCCTCAGAAAACGGGATCAGGGTTCAATGACAAAAATATTTATACTTATTTAGAAGCAAAAATCATTGCTCTTGAATTTTTATCAATTAGGTATTTGATAATGGAAATTCCAGAAGGTGCCTTTAGTTGAATGTTTTATGAAAGGATTAAAGCGCCTGCTTTGTCAACTTTTTTTTTAAGGTCTCCTTTTTTAAGTATCCTAGAAAGATAGATAGGTTAGGCATGTCATGTGTGTGTACATGCATTTGTGTGTGCATGCACTCTTGTGTGTGTGATAGGGATGGAGAGAAAATGAGAAAGAGTTGAGAGGATTATTCTTTAAATCATGTTATACTCAGACAGCTGTCTTCATAGAAATATGATACTTTAATTAAAATTAGCATTCCCTTCTTGTCTTCAGTATACCTTGATAACAAAAATCCTTTTAGATTTTTGGTTGAGAAAGATAGACAATAGTGTGAAATTTGTAGCCATGAGTATATTTTGAATATTTTCCGGTAATACAGTGTATCTTACTGGGCAGAAATGACTATAAAAGGAAGAAAATGTATATCAAGAAAAGGAAATGACAAGGTGTTATTATTTTGAATTATAGTGTGAAATATTTGGGAACCAACCCAAATGCCCATCAATGTTAGACTGGATAAAGAAAATGTGGCACATATACACCATGGAATACTATGCAGCCATAAAAAAGAATGAGTTCATGTCCTTTGCAGGGACATGGATGAAGCCGGAAACCATCATTCTCAGCAAACTAACACAGAAACAGAAAACCAAACACTGCATGTTCTCACTCATAAGTGGGAGGGGGACATCACACACCGGGGCCTGTCAGGGGATGGGGGCAAGGGGAGGGATAGCATTAGGAGAAGACCTAATGTAGATGACGGGTTGATGGGTGCAGCAAACCCCCATGGTACGTGTATACCTATGTAACAAACCTGCATGTTCTGTACTTGTATCCCAGAACTTAAAGTATAATAATAATACAAAGTAATGAAAAAGTAGTAGGAATATTGATATTGGAGAAATAATGACAGCTCAACTTTAATGTTCAGTTGATTCTAACACTACCTCTTGTAATTAAATGTATTTCCTTTTTCTATTTAATGGTAAAAATCTACAGTCATTATGATAATAAACTTGCGCCCACATCAACTTTTCATTTTACACTTTCTATAATATTTGAACAATATGATTCACCAATTTTCTGTTTATAGTATAGCAACTTAAGAACTTTTAAAAAATATTCATGAGACATTTTCAATAAGATTCATTTATAGCTTCATTTAGACCTGTGTCTCATCATATCTTTGTTGTCTCCATTTAAATTTATAATATTCCATTACCATTATATAACACCCTTCTTTGTCTTTTTTGACCATTGTTGATTTCAAGCCTGTTTTGTCTGAAATTGGAATAGCAACTTCTGCTTTTTTCTGTTTTCCATTTGCTTGACAGATTTTTCTCCATCCCTTTACTTTGAGCCTATGGGTGTCATTGCATGTGAGATGGATCTCTTGAAGACAGCATACCACTGAGTTTTACTATTTTATTCAACTTGCTATTCTGTGCCTTTTAATTGAAGCGCTTAGCCCGTTTACCTTCAAGGTCAATAGTGATATGTGCAGATTTGATCCTGTCATCATATTGTTTAGCTTGTTATCATGCCAGACTTCATTGTGTGGTTGCTTTATAATGTCAATGGTCCATGTACTTAAATGTGTTTCTGTGGTGATTGGTAATGGTCTTTTTTTCCAAATTTAGGACCTTTTAAGAACTTCTTTTAAGGCAGGTCTGGTGCTAATGAATTCCTTTAGCATTTCCTTGTCTGAAAAGGTCATATTTATTTTTTGCTTATGAAGCTTAGTATGGCTGGATATGAAATTATTGGTTGAAATCTCTTTTCTTTATAAATGCTGAATCTAGGCCTCCAGTCTCTTCTGGCTAGTAGTGTTTCTGCTGAAAGTTCTGCTGTTAGCCTGGTGGGGTTCCCTTTGGAGGTGACCTGCCCCTTCTCTCTAGCTGCCTTTAACATTTCTTCTTTTGTTTTGACATTGGAGAATCTGATGACTATGTGTCTTGGGGATGGGCTTCTTGTATAGTATCTCATAGGGATTCTCTGCATTTCCTGAGTTTGAATATTGGCCTCTCTAGCAAGGTTGGGGAAATTTTCATGAATGATATCCCGAAACATAGTTTCCAAGTTGGTTGCTTTCTTTCTTCTTTCAGTGAATTGTAGATTTGGTCTTTATACATTATCCCATATTTCTTAAAGGGTTTGTTCATTCCTTTTATTCATTTTTTAAATTTTTTGTCAGATGGAGTTATTTTAGATAACTGGTCTTTGAACTCTGAGATTCTTTCCTCAACTTAGTTGATTCTGCTGTTAGTATTTGGTGATTGTACTATAATATCCTTGAAGTGAGTTTTCAGCTCTATCAGATCAGGTTTTTTTTTTTTTTTCTTAAAATAACCATTTTGTCTTTCAGCTCCTGTATTGTTTTATTGTATTCCATAGATTCCTTGGATTCGGTTTCTACTTTCTCCTGAATCTTGATAATCTTCATTTCTATCTATATCACAAATTGTATTTCTGTCATTTCAGCCACTTCAGGCAAGTTAAGAACCATTGCTATTTCTGGGGTATGAGTGCAGTTGTTTGGAGGTGAGAAGACACTCAGGATTTTTGAGTTGCTAGAGTTCTTGCATTGGTTCTTACTCCTCTATGTGGCCTGATGTTCCTCCAATATTTGAAGTTACTCCCCTTTGAATGGCTTTTTTTTTTTTTTTTTTTGCTTTTCTCTCCTTTGATGCTCTTATTTGGTATAAGGTGATTTCAGCTGACTGGCTTTATTTCTAGGACATTTAAGGGGATAAGGCTTAGCTCAGTACTCCTGGGCTGCATCCTCTAACTCTGGGGAGTTGGTAATGTGCTCTTGGCTTTGTTTTCTGGCCCCTAGAGGTTAGGAATCTGTTGCATTGGAGGGTCTGAGGTGTTCCCCATCTGCTGACGAAAACACTCCGATGGATTGTGCCAGCCAAAGCCTTCACCAGGGTGCTGGCAGGATGATCTGTGCTTGCTTGCATGTGCCAGCAATTGTGACACTGTAGTGGGGTACAAGCACATTTCCTGTGGTGGGGAAGCAGCAGGAGCAGGGTACAGTGTTCCTGCACATGCTCACTCCAGCGGCATGGTATGGGTGGGTTATGGTTGCCAGTGTCCATGCTTGCACTTGCACCAGTGGCAGCCATGGCACGGTTGAGACACAGGTTATCACTTGAGACACCAGTTGTTGCGGGGCTGCTGGCCTCCATGCATGCATGCACATTGGCAGCAGTGGCAGCATGGAGAGACAGGGCTGATGGCATCTGTGTGCCTGTTTTTGCCAGCAGTGGCAGCCTGGCTAGGTTCCCGTGTTTGAGCATCTGAGGTGATGGGTGGCAAGGAGCACTCACACATCCATGCTGGCGGGGGAGGGAAGGCAAGGACGACCTGTGCATGTGTGCTGACAAAGTGGTGTGGAGGTGGCCATGACCAAGTGCCTACCAACAAAGCTGTGCAGGGGAGGCTGTGGTAGAAGGAAGGTGTGAGTAGACACACATTGGTTGGGGCCAGTCTGCTGGAGCTCTCTGATAGCCAGGTGCTGTCTGCTGTAATAGGTGCTCCGCCGAGGACCTCCAGGAAGCACCCAGGTTGGACATCTGAGGCTACAAGTGGGCATGGCCAAGGTGGGGCCTTGGGAGAGGATAGCAGACAGGGATCACTCAGATCAGACTGGCTCCATCACATGTGCAGAACCACCCTACTCTGTCCAGGCCTGGTGGTCACCCTCAGGCTAAAGTCTCCTAAAGAAGCATGAAAACCCTTGGGAGACTGGAGTCCCTGGCTGTGCTCCACTACAGACGGTCCTGCTCCACGTCCAGACAGTAGCAGAATCAGGCTGGAGTTCTGATTCTGCTACCTATCTAAGCAGCTCCCTCTGCCAACCCAAGTGTCTGTAGGGGTTGTGGGGTCTCCTGCTACCAGGATCCATGAGGTTCATTGTGAGAGCATGCCACTCCTCAGCTGTTCAGCTCTCCGCTTCCCCTGGAGTTGCAGGAGGCCAGGAAGAGTTCCTGGTGCTTGGTAGCCTTGTGCAGGATACCCAGCTATTTCCCCCTTCCGCCCAGCATCTGTGTCCTCGCTCCATTTACTTTCAATGCCTTCTCTTTGAAGATTTGCTCAAAGTGTGCATTTAAAACATTTTTAAAAATCTAGTTTCACTTTCAGTCTTATCACTTTTAATTTCTTTGCTGCACTTTTGCTGCTTTACTCTCTTGATTAACTATTTTGTAAAGTGTCATATGAGTGTATTACTGGGGAATAAACAGATAACACAACTACACGCTTTGCTGTTTGTATGTGAACTAACAGATGTGCAGTGACCAAACACTGGCAGATTCTGAAAGAAGTGATGCGATTGGTCATTGATCATGATGTTCCTATTATTTGCATTATAATTTGTGGAATGGAGTGTTAGCAGCAAAGTTTATGCTTTGTTCAATTTTTTATAGTTGATATACTGTGGTAACTGAAATTTAAATTTTATTGTTGCTAGGCTGGCATCATTTAACTTAAAAAAAAAAACTAGTAAGTGAAGCCCATCCATATTGGTAGCAGGCAATAAAAAGACTACTTGCCCTACAAAGTCACAATGATGACAATAACATTCAAGAATAAAGAAATATGTCAACTGAACAGAGTCAAGACAGTGACACATATGTATATAAATCAAAATTAAGCTACAAATGAAGTGACACTTTAAATCAGTGGGCAGACATAACCTGGTCATCAAATAATATTAGGAAATCTGTACCAAAGAGGAAGAACGACTATATTATACTCTTCTAGGGAATAATTTACACAATAATTAATAATACAAGCGAGGATAAAACCTAGAATAATTTGAAAGAAAATGTAGACAAATATTTTTATGATCTTTGCAATAAAAAGTTCTCAATAACCAAAAAACAACCCCAAAACAATGCCTAGATACCTGATCATGAAGGAAAGACAGATTTAACTATATAAAATGAATCATTTCTTTATTATATCAGATAAGTGACAGACTATATTACAGAAAAAGAAATGTCATTAATAATAAAAAGATTGTATAAAATACAGTAAGAAAAATCTTATAAGTTGATTAAGAATGTGCAAGAGAAACAAATAAGAAATTTGCAGAAAAAGAAATATGGATGGCTAATCTTTGAATAGATTTTTAAACTCATTAGTAAATCAGAAAACATCAATTAAAACAATAATTAAAACAATAATTGGATTTTTTTATCATCGAAGTAGCCAAAGTAAAAGATTAATTATCACTCATTTTAAAGAAGGTGCACAGATAACTGGCATTCTTATGCTCTGCTAGTGAGAGTATTAGTTTATAAATAAAGCCTTTTTAGAACATTCATGACATCATTAAAATTTTTAGCTTATATATATTTTGCCTAGAAATTCCACCTTTAGGACTTTCTCTACAAAATTAATTGTGCTTATACCTAAGACAAAAGTATACTGCAGACTACAAATACGAAAATTAGCATTTCATCCTATAATTTTTTTTATATATCTGTTAACCTTTTTCTCAAACTAGGCTTTTTCATCATCCTGGCCTATCTGAGGATAATATATGCTTTGTCAATATTGTTCTTTTCAGTCAAACATCTTCTAATTATATGTCTACACATATAGTTTATTCAAGAAAACCATCAAAAGTGATGTGGATAGTATTACAATGTGCACAGTGCTCAAATATAATGCAATATTTTTTAAACAAATCTCAGGTGTATAATACTGTGTTTCAATAACAGCATTTAATGGAACTGTATACAGAGTATAACTGAGAGTGTTTGGAAGGGATAATTGTTGCCACTAATTAACAACGGTAATGGTGAAAAGTTATTCTTCACTACTTTTATTTTCTCATTTCTAAAACAAAAATAATAAAACCTTGCATGCATGATTTTTTAAAGATTGAATAATATTTATAAAGTGGTAAGTTTTGGTGATGATAAGTAGCAATTGCTATTTTTTATCTTAAAAGTCATTGGGTTACAGTATATATAAACAGACTTTGCCTATGTAAATGATCGTTTCTATTATAAATTGGTGCACCTTCAAGATAGAGAAGTATTTTTAAGGGAAATGTAAGAAAATATGTATTTTGATTTTTAATAGCCTTGACAAAAATCTCCTCATAAATCATTTTTATTCTAGTAATTTCTTTTAAGAAACTATCCTGTTATATAGACTTCTGTGAAAAATCAGTATATGCATTTCCTCATTTATATTTTCCAGTAATTGAATTGCTTTTAAAACCCTCACAGCAATTTTTATTAGTGTAAATCACTGCATTTAACTATTTTTATCTTTTTGAGCTCATTTTTGGTATACACATGTGCAGCAGAGCAAAAAAATTGATATCAAGTTGTATATAAATACCATATATTAGAACAAGTGCAAATATATATCCTAGTAGATTTTTAAAAACAATGTTTTGGTAAAAATATACCTATACTGGAAATTGGGATAAGAGGACATTAAGGTTTGACACTCCTTTAAAATAATTAAAGCAAAAACTTCCATGTCTCTATGTTAACTTTATATATCTTAAGCTACATTTCTCAGTATGATTAGCTTGAGAAATATTTCATTTCAGCTTGACAGACTACTACTCACTACCTATTACCTGTTCTAAACATAGAAGATAAAAAAGAAAACAAAAGAAAAACAAATTCCTGGTTTCAGAATTCTTGCAGTAGCAAGGCAGATGGATAAATAAATAATTAAGAAACTGAGTGGCATATGCTGAAACTGAGGTTTGTACAGGGCACAGTGTTGGGAAAAGGGAGTGGTAATCAACTATACATGGAGAAGTTAGGGAAAGCTTTCTATGTATTTAATTCACTACCTTTGTGTTATGCTAAATAATCATCTCACACTCCTTGATTAAAGTCAAATAGACATAATGTATCTAGACAGTGACTAGGCACGGAATTGAACCAATATTAAAGAAAATTAATTTGTGGGCATGAATTTTAGAGTCATGTACTCACCTGTCCACCTCACCTCTCTCTCCAATTTTGTGTCTTGTTTGGTATGTAAATTTCACATGTTCAAAACCGAGCTCTTGACATTCCGCTCCTGAACTTACTGCTTTGTATTCCTCTGACTTCCAAAATGATCTTTCTGTATGTCAGGCAAAGAACCATAGGGTCTTTGCAAGTATGCTTCATGTGCATGAAATGTTCGTGTCTTGGATATTCACAGCTCTCTCCCTCTCTCGTATAGTTATTCTTGTTTTGCTTACCTCTGTTTTCTGGGCTACGTTTTATTTTTATGTTGTTATCATTTATTTTATTCCTTATTATTTCTACTTTAGAAAATGCCTTTGAGATATCTGTTTTATTAATTGGCATACATTTTGCTTTTCCTGAATTTTTTGACTGTTTAATTTTTTTGCATATAACAAAGGAAACCCCAGTATTAAAAACACGATTAAAATTCCCAAATGAAATGAACGCGAGGTACCTAAGAAAACATTGTTCTAATGAACACATCATTGGGCAATAGGAGAACAAATTTCCTAGGAATATGATTTTATAAAATAAAATAAAGTTTACAGACAACGTAATTCTCTTTAGAACTATTAGAAGTGTTATCAAATACATCTGTAACAGTATATCTTGTGTAATTCTGTTTTCTATTAATAATTATATCAAAGAAGCAACATATTTGGATAATCAACTTATATAAAAATAATAAAAGTAAATACAAGGCTTCAGGGTTATATAAACCTTCAGTAAATTATAAACATATTGAATATTAAAACATTAAAAACTAAATATTACTTTCAATAATTCATTCTTATTACACCAATTTCACTTGGATAATTATAGATGTAGAATTAATGGAATTTAAGAATCTGTTATGCAAGATTACTGCCTGTCCACTTACTGAAACTGAAAAGTTATGTGACTTAGGTCTCAGATTTCTCACATAAAGCATGGAAATAATAACATAATGACTTTATGAGGACTACATTGGATAATGCTTGTAAGATTCTCTGTTTCTTTAGTGCTGGGTTAAGTTTTAACAAATGTATATTTCCTGAAGAGCTTAGATTCAAGTTAGACATATTTTTAAAAATATATATCTAATTTTTGGTAGAGTTACATTATAGTTTATTACACATTTTATCAATTTCAAAAGGGGCAGGCAACATATCTAATACAATATTTAAAGTATAGTAATCTGCCGGGTGCAGTGGCTCACGCCTGTAGTCCCAGCACTTTGGGAGGCTGAGGCGGAAGGATCACGAGGTCAGGAGATCGAGACCATCCTGGCTAACGCGGTGAAGCCCCGCCTCTACTAAAAATACAAAAAAGTAGCCGGGCATAGTGGCGGGCGCCTGTAGTCCCAGCTACTCAGGAGGCTGAGGCAGGAGAATGGCGTGAACCCGGGAGGTGGAGGTTGCAGTGAGCCGAGATTGCACCACTGCACTCCAGCCTGGGCAACAGAGCGAGACTCTGTCTCAAAAGATAAATAAATAAACAAATAAAGTATAGTAATCTAAAAAACTCAAGGGAAGCAATATCTTGAAAGACAATTCTTAAAAAGATTGTTCCATTAATTTTTAAAAATTCAATGGCATAAGGGATAATAAATTCAGCTCTACTGGTAAATTATCACATTAATAACTAGAGGAAAATATAGGAGAAGTACGTATTTTACCTCATAAATTTTGGTTGCTAGTTATTTGAAGTTGTTTAATGATTAATGTCCTGTTCTGTAATATAATAATCTCAACACAAGAATTGCTTTAATTGTCAGAAAATCTCATTTTAAAGGCACTTGATATTTAATATTTATCAACCTCCCACTGTACACCTGGTTATGTCTTAGACACAGGGAGCACAGGTGAACAAAACAAGAGTAGTCTCTGTGTTCATGAGATTTAAACTATATTAAAAGAATTTACACAATTAAATATAATATTAAAACTGTAATATAGGAACGTCTCTTGGTTATTCTGACGTTGAGACTAAAATATTTCCAGCCACTGTTTCATAGAGGACTTTGTAGTACTTGGGCTAGCTTAAGAAATAAAAATGATATAAGCCAGTAGTGTTACTTTCAAACACCAGTCTTAGACTGTTGATAATTTGGGAAATATATAGTTAGCTCATTGCTTATGTTATGACAACATTTGGGGAAAGATTTCCTGAAGTATGTGCAATATTTTGTTTTGTTTAGTTTAGCATATACATTGATGGCAAGTATTCTGCAAAGGACATAAGCTATATGTGGGGTGAAATCATAAAAGTACCTCTTTCCATCATCCTAATAAGTCTGTGAATTGCTTTCTACTTGGCCATGTTTGCACTAGTCTCCAATTTTTACACTGTACCTCACCTAAACATATCACTAGGATTGTCTTAAATGATATATATTTTACTTTTTGCTGTACCGAACTACTAATCACCATTTATACCAACTAATTACACCCCAAGGCACAAAGGGGAGTAAACTTAATTAGTCTGAAACCCCAACAGTGCAGACTTGCCATCTAGTGATGACAGAAGGTAACTATAGATTACAAAAACTGTCTACACATATTTATGGAACACTTACTTTGAAGCACTGGCAAAGATACAAAGATGAGTAAGACACAGAATTTGACCCAAGGAGTTCAAAATACAGTGAGAGGGAGAAGACACAAGCAGTTACGTTTAAGGCAAAAACATTGTTAAATGGCAGAAAGAGATACATATTACATGCCAAGAGAAGGGCAGAAAGATGATGAATGAACTCTGATTGAATAGATCACGTAATTTCCTATAATACACATATGGTATTAATGACTAGGATACTGGGAAACAAGTTTACCAGGTACAAATCTATATATTGCAATTAAAAACTTGTGAATTTGGGGAAAGTTTGTGACAGAAACTGAGTGTAGAAAAAGTGGACCACGGAGGGAACACCATTAGAGAAGAAACCACATCATATTCCTCTCATTTCACTAGAATCTAGAATAGTCCCTGATTGATATCTACATTAATTTAGTTAATATTTGTTTGCATGTTAATTACTGCAAATGTGAGTAGGAAGCATGATTATAAAAAATCTTGAAATATATAGATAGGAATACTTAAAAACTGTTTGTATACAGTATTGAATATTAATATTTTTGAGACTCTATGACAGATACTTCTAACTGCATACCCAATACTTTTTATTTCCTTAATAACAGAATCTTATGTATTTTCAGAGCAGCACATTTAAGGAAATAAACTTCTCCACTTTTTTTTTAATTCTAGGATAGTAAAATGACACAGTTCTGGCCAAGGAGATAAAAGCAGAAGTCACTGAGGGGTGTTTATAGGAGGCCCTTTAAAAGTCTCGGATGGGGATGTCTTTGAGCTCCCAAAACCAATTGCGAGCATGGAGAGTTGCATTGCTCTTTAAGAATGGTAGAGCAGAAAGCTGAAATGAGACCAGCTTCCTGATGACATTATGGAACCATCATAGCAGCCTTGGACTGCCAGATTCCAAAATTCTTATTTAAGTGAGAAAAATATAACCTTAATTTTTCTAAAGCCATTTTCCCCAGGCTTCTATCATTGGCAGCCAAACAGAATTCTGAAATTATACAGACACTGACTAAAAAGTCAGAAACCATTGTAGGTAGCAAAGCATAGATTGAATTCTGAGGATGTTTAGAACAAGAAACTTGCTAATATCATATTGCCACTGAGACTATATTTAATCACACTTTTACCACTGTTGGGACTGCTATTCTCCTCATCACTCTTCAAGTAAAACACTATGCAAAATCCATGTCAAGCACCATTGTTTCTATGATGCCTTACCTAACATCCATTTAGAATTAATCCCTCTTTGTGCTTATCTTGCTCAGATTACTACTATAATACTTATAAAAGTATAGCAGGCAGTGTGTATTGCTTCTACAACCCTAGACTACCCTGGTTAATAGAACCTCCTTTTTTTTTCCTAGAAAGAAAATGTATGTCTGCCCTGGGAGCGTGGCATGGTTGATCTAAACTAAAAAGAGCTATCTTGTCCTGTTTTGATGATATTTGTTTTCTCTGGCTTCTGTGCATAAGACCCAGTTCTCCCCAGTAAAACACCAGGAAGAGAAAGTTGGCTTGAGGGTTCCTAGACATGTTTTTTTTTTCTTTTCATTGATAAAAGAAGAGAGCCTTTGTAGAAAATGCACTTTGTTCTTTCACTGTCTTGCTTCGCTTTTAGATGAACTCCTGGTGCTTGAAGCTACATCATCTTGAGACCATGAGGCAATAAACCTAAGCATGAAATTAAGCATGTCACTGACGGGAAAATTCTGGGTCATGCTTGGTGAATCAAAGACTGAAACCATCTATCTCTGGATTTCAATCCTTGCATTAAAATATACCTCTTATTGACTAAAATTACTGACCAATACAGAAAGAAAATATTTATGAAATTTTCTCAGTACAATATTTTCTTCCTATAATACATTATCTGATATTAACAGACACTATTTTACATACAAAGAAAGAGAAGCTAAGAACATCAAAGTAGCTTGTCTGAAGTTGCACAGCTATGAGGTAGATATTACTTGACTTAGGTATGACTAGTTTCTTCCATTTGATTGAAGATGGCTGTGAATACTCTCTAGCCCCACTCATCAAATAAATGGATTACAATTTTTACCTTGATACTGTATAAATAAATGATCAGTGAATGTGAAGACAGGTAACTCCTTTAATCATGATTCTACAAGAAAGATTCAAGGCAACCATTTGTCAATTTAAACGGGTAAGTTTTACCTTTTGTTTTTAGAAACACAGTGAATTTGGTCAGGTGATAGACTTCTTTTAAGTGTTCTTAATTTGATATGCGACACTCTGCTTTTAGTTTCTCTTTTCACAACCGAAGTTGCCTTTTCAGAAGAAATTACGGAAATAGGAGAGTGAAAATAGGATTTGCTGCTTTTGACAAATCACCTATTGACCTCGCAGGTTGTTCAACAGTTTTTATGGCTCTTGGGTAATTGGAAATTCATAAATAACTCAAAATTATTCATATTAAAATGTTTTCTGATTATTGATTAGGTCACATTCCTTTAATTTTACTGAGATATGACTTCTTAGAAGGAAAATAAATTTACGTTGTTTTCTAGAGTACATTTTATTTTATTTATTTTAAACAAAACAAAACAAAAAGTTTTCTAAGGCCTTAACAAAGCTACTCCTTTTGGTTGAATTAGATACTAGTAAATAAGATTTGTTGTTCACTAGAATAATATTATTTGAGTTATGTATGCTAGTTTTCTCCAATTATTTTAATAAGAAATATTTAATATTTAACAATTTCTCAATTTTCTGTTTTTCAATTAACACTCAATGAAATTAGTTACCAATATTATCAGATCATTAGATTCTCCATTTTAACAAATTTTTAAATAATGTCATACTTTGTTTATATATTTCTTAGTATACTTCTTTACCTAAAGTTTATTTATTTCTAATTTGATGAATAAACTGAAACTTATTTTCCCTGTTATGTTATAAAGTTTGTCATAATATTTAGAGAATCATGGCAGTTTCAGATTTTAATAATCCATATAAGAATTACTAGACATGCTATACATTAAAACTGTGTACAGTTCATTAGCCGGTTTGAATGTCACATTTAACCTCAGCCTACCTTTGTTCCCATGCAGAGATTTTGAGTGTACCACTACTATTTGTGTAAGCAAGTAATTTATTGTTATGACATCTCTTATTTGGAGGTGAAAACAATGCAGTGTGGAACTAGTTGTAAGTGGTTTGTCTTGTTGCAAATTTATTGTATTTTTAGGTCATACATTAACATGACTTTAAAAAGCTCAGCTGACTTATCTGATTAATATGATTGATATAAAATTATGTCAAAAAAATGTGTTGCAATTGGGCAGGGCGCAGTGGCTCATGCCTGTAATCCCAGCAATTTGGGTGGCCAAGGCGGGTGGATCACGAGGTTAGGAGTTCAAGACCAGCCTGGCCAACATGGTGAAACCCTGTCTCTACTAAAAATACAAAAATTAACAGGGCATGGTGGCACCTGTCTGTAATCCTAGCTAATCAGGAAGCTGAGGCAGAATTGTCTGAACCCAGGAGGCAGAGGTTGTAGTGAGCCGAGATCGCGCCACTATACTCCAGCCTGGGCAAGAGAGCAACACTCCATCTCAAAAAAAAAAAAAAAAAAAAGAGTTGCAATTGAAAAATGGTCAGGTGAGAAGTATCTATATACTTACCTAAAGAGCAATACAATACTTTAAAAAACTCTATAATAGCTAGGTTAGAACAAACCAAAAATTAAAAATTTAGAATAAACTGTAATATTTATGAACATTCAATTAATTGGTGCTTCATTTTTAGAACTCCTTCATGTATCATATAGTTACGTAGTACAATTCTGCTCTGCAGAGTAACATACTTACTCTTAATGTGCTTAAATTCAGAGTAAAATTATTTTGAGAAATGAAAATTCTAGTATAAATATTAACATATACAAATATCTATAAGCTGTAAGTACATGCTATTTTCCCTGATAATTTTATAAATAAGAATGTAAAATAATACATGAAAATTGGATAATTGTCATTTTTTCAGACACTGATTATTTCATTATGCAGCACAAGTTGAGTATGATTATGTGTGTGCATGTGTGTGTGAAACATGCATATATTGTATGTTTGGTACACATGTTGTGTATTCATATGTTTATAAGTTAACATAAGATGAGAAAGAGCTCTCGCTGTCTCTCTACATAGCGAGATGTTTGTGTGCATATGTGTGTGTATATATCTAAACAGAAATATGCCATCTTTTTACCTTTGAAAAACTAATATGGGCAATACAACCTTGTCCAGTTAATTTCTTCAATTTTTTTTTAGTTGTTGGGTAACACTAGCAAACATTCTTTAAATAATCTGGTTTATACCAGTGGTTTAATGAATGCATTTTTGGTACTAGAATGAAATTTATTGCAAATGAGCGTTTATCTACCAATCAGTAGTTAATGAGGTTGTAAATCTGATAGTTGTTGTGATTGTTTCACATGTTGTTAAACCATTAATAAGGATTCATAAAACACAGTTGAAAGTTAAGTTTTGTTTATAGAGGCTATCATTCTGAAAACGATAAAAGAGTCATTCACTAAATTTACTAAGTAAGCAATATTTCAGACACAAATTAGGGGAGTCTAATTATTAGGTACAACCAAGTAATATTATTATTTAGGAAGATCAAATTTGGCATGTCAGGCCTTTTGGTAGCATACTAATTGGCATAGTTACACTTGGTTACTAATTAATTGGTTTTACACTAGCCGTCTGTAAATACAGTGTTTCCCAGAGGGGAGAGGAGAGGAAGGACACCAACTTTATTTTTAAATGAACATTTATTTTTGTGCTAATGAGGGTGTTCAGGGGTACAAATGACAAGACCCAACTCAAAGGGTACATTAATTGCCTCACATAGTAATGCAGAGAGAGGACAGATTTGAGAGATGCTTGACTTCTTTGCTCAATTATTTTATAGAATGCAGGGTTTTTGCATTTTCCCACTTTGTTTCAGTGCTTTCCATGGTTAATGTTGGTTTCCTTCTCAGGTCAAAATAAGAGATCGCATCTAGAAATGATAATCCTCCTCCAGTTGAGGCAGATTTTCTTAGAAGCTTCCTAGTATACCAACCTTCATATCACACTGACCAGCTATCATTAGAAAGAAATAAGCAATTTCCAAGATTGACTTAGACCCGTCATCTGAGGTGGGATGATGGTTGAGAAGTCAACATTAATATTCAGCATAATCCACCTTTAAATTTTGTATTATATTAGTACTATATGATGAATGTTTAATCTTTGGGCAGCCAGTTCTTTCATCTGGATATTTACAATTTTATTTCTGAATCAATCTGAAAAATGACCGCCTGAACTATATTTGGTTCCCTACTAGAAGCACAGTGTAAAAATGAGTAATTATGACTGGGCACGATGGCTCACGCCTGTAATCCCAGCACTTTGGGAGGCCAAAGCGGGTGGATCACAAATCAGGAGATCGAGACTATCCTGGCTAACACAGTGAAATTCCATGTCTACTAAATATACAAAAAATTAGCCGGGCATGGTGGCACGCACCTGTAGTCCCAGCTACTCTGGAGGCTGAGGCAGAAGAACCTCTTGAACCAGGAGGCGGAGGTTGCAGTGAGCCAAGATTGCGCCATTGCACCCAGCCTGGGCCACAGAGCAAGACTCTGTCAAAAAAAAAAAAAAAAAAAAGAGTAGTTATGTTAAGACTCCAAAGGGTTTGAGCATAGTGTAAAAATGGGTAATTTTCCTTAAGCCTCTCAGGAAAGGAGTTCCAGTACTAAGCCAAAACAAAAAAATTGTGTACTAAATGTATACTAGAGGGAGTAAAAGACAACCTGAATGACATAGAATAATGCATGCAAGGCATTTATAGACTTTCTTTGATTTTATATCCTCCATTAATTTTGAAAATCATCAACTTACACTGTCATAACATATTAAAACTTGAACAATAGTTATACAGCTGACACAGTAATGTTTTGATATGCTTGTCATATTTACAGTGGTCACAATTTCAATTTTTCCTTTTTCTTTTTTTTTTTGGTTTTTGTTTTTTCATTTCACTGTGGTCATGGTGACCCGTAAGCCCCAGATCTGTTTGAAGAACATATTTCGTTGAATTACATTTGATTTAATTTCATGTTTTCATTGAAAAAATCCACACGAAACAGCCTTAATGATTTTAAAATGTTGCATAATGTTATTTAAAACATTATCCACTACATTTTTGTAAAGCGCAAGTGAATACTTACCTTTAGAGTTAATTGCTTGAAAAGCTTTGCTACTTCTGAGGCTGCTGTGTACTTTTTCTGTATTAATTAAGAAGTATGTGACAGGAATATGGTTCTTTTTGTTTTGGTTGTCTGAAGTTTTACAGCCAAATTTAAGAATGAACCATAATTTTTATAAATAAAATTAAAGCTTGTAAAACATTTTATGTTATTTTTATCTCAATCTTAACATTCGGATTTGGGTTCTCTGTGGTTCTGCTGTTTCTAAAAATATTTTGTTAGACTTGATAAAATTCCTACAAACTGACTCATAATTTAGTGTTAAAAGGGAAGAGGTAGATAGACATAGATAAGCAGATATATTTTGCATTATGTAAATTATATAGTTAAATTGATTTTTCCTAGGCTGGTATGTAAAAAAGTAGGAATTATACAAATATTTGCTATTATTATCAGTGGCTAATTTGACCAACACTTATACTGAACTAGCCTATGATTATTTTTATTTGTACTGTAAATGCAGCTACAGAATATATCATTTTATTAAAATTAAATTTTAGTTGCTATGATACTTGAGAGTTAATTACATTTGTGATATGCTCTATTGGGAATGCAAAATCTCATATGAGGCAAAACCAAAATTAGAATTTCTGTTACTCTCTTCATAGTGATCCATTATCTAACTAACACTATCAAGGATGGGGTTTTGTGAGTGACAATGGGGTGTGAAAGAACTTATGAATTTATTCATTCTATAATTAATATAAGGTAAATGAACACATCTTTAATATATCAAGATCTAATATGGCTCCAGTATAACTTTTAACTAAGTTTCATCATAATGTATCATAATCTATTTTGATATAACTATAATGAGATGAGGCTTGAATATCAACAGCTATATGTAATATTCACAACATAAAATTTAAAAAATTAGATCTGACCCCAAAGCCTATTTTTAAAAATTTATTCTTATAATGATTTTTTTTTTTTGGAGATAGCATGTCAATCTGTTCCCCAGGCTGGAGTGCAGTGATGTGATCTGGGTTCACTGCCTCTTCCACCTCCTGTACTCAAAGGATTCCCCCCACTGCCTGCCAAGCCTCCCAAGTAGCTAGGACTACAAGCACACACCACCATGCCCGGCTATTTTTTAATATTTTTTGTAGCGACAGACTTCCACCATGTTGCCCAGGCAGGTTTCGAACTCCTGGGCTCAAGTGATCTGCCTGCCTTTGCCTTCCAAAGTGCTGGAATTACAGGAGTGAGTCACCACACCTGACCATATGAATGTATTTTTGTACAGGAAATGTACAAGTTGAGGCTGGGTGTGATGGCTCACGCCTGTAATGCCAGCACTTTGGGAGGCCGAGGCCGGGGGGGTGGGGGGACGGCAGGTCACAAGGTCAGGAGTTCGAGACCAGCCTGGCCAACATAGTGAAACCCCGTCTGTACTAAAAATACAAAAATATTAGCCAGGTATGGAGGCATGCACCTGTAGTCCCAGCTACTTGGGAGGTTGAGGCAGGATAATCGCTTGAACCCAGGAGGCAGAGGTTGCAGTAAGCTGAGACCACACCATTGCACTCCAGCCTGGGTGACAGACTGAGACTCCATCTCAAAACAAAACAAAACAAAACAAAAGGATAGGAAATGTACAAGTTATGGCTAGAAATTCTGAATATATCGTAACTACCTTTGATAAGACAAACAGAAATGGTGTATTTTTTCACTGAATTATCACAGACAACACAGAACAATACTGGTAATCAAACAAACATTAAGGCAAAATTGAATAAAATATATTAAAATGTGGCAACTATTAATGCTTACAGAAAAGCAAGCACATATGGAAGAAGAAGAAATAGAGGATATCTTTGAAAGATTTTTCTTGGGAACATAGCACTGAATTCTAAATGAGCAGATCTGACTTTGATTTGAACATTTGTGCTTATCAGCTTTTAACCTTTGTGGAAGTAGCAGAGGCTCTCTGAGCATGATGCTCACCTGGAACATGGTGTTAGTTTCTATTCTTTCTTCGCACAACTGACATGAAGAACAAATATTAAAGAGCTTTATGAACTGTACATGTAGGACTTAGTCTTTTGTTCTTTTTGGGTTAATTAAGGAGTGAAATAAAGACTGGGAGTAGCATCTCAGGCCTCATAAACAAAACATGGCCGTTGATACTAGAACACAGATACATGTACTTTGCCCTTATTTTAGAAAACTTTTTCTGTTTGAGAAAAATTACTCATGACTTAATAGTTATGGCAGGCTTCCAGAGTGATCCCTGAATATTCATATACTAGTAGTTGTAAATAATCTAGAGGTCCTGGAATTCCTGTGCTATTTTATAGTCATGACTTGGAGAGATGATATAAATAAGCATGTAGATATGCAATAAGCTATATGTGTGTGTGTGTGTGTGTGTATTTAGTATAGATAATTTTCCACATATGCCCATAATACGTACATATGTGTGTATATATGATTTTGTGAGATAACACTTTAAGAAATATGAAGAAGAAATGAAAGAGGAAAAGAAAGAAAGTAGGTTGATGAAACCTATGAGCCATTAATAAGAAGAATAATGATCCTTACAAGTATTTGATCCACTGAGGAAAGAGAAGAAGCTGTTGGATTACCACTGTCTTTTGCATCGGCTCCTTAATAGAAGTGATGGCCCAAGACGAGACAGTAGTAAGGGGTAAAGAGAAAGAAAATTTCAAAAAGAGGAAGATAAAGGGTTTACATGCAAATGATTAAACTCATAGTTTTATATAAATCACTTTAGTCGGTGAAAAACATTATCTCCCTAATGTTATACATAATCCTCACCTCAGAGATAACATAATGTATAAAACTAGGGATAAAATAACATGCAAAGACTGAAAGTTTATCTAGGTATAGAAATCATACAGATAACTGAGTAAACATCCTGTAAATATTTCAGTTAAATAATTACATAATTTTTCAATAAAGAAAAGCTGTATAATGTATAACGAAAATTAATAGTCAATGGGAATTTGGGGAAAGACAAAGATTACTTCTTGTTTTCCAGATGGTAATCACTAATATTGTGTATCAGTTTTTTTGTGCTACATGTTATGAATATTTTATATTTTATTTGTTTATTTTGCATGTTATTTAATTTATCAATATATTATAGGTTACTAATATTTTGTGTATATATGGCTTACGTTTATATAGCAGATAATATATATGGAACCAAGCACTGCTCTAAGTGTTTCAGTAACTCACTTCATTCTGTCAGCAATCCTATGAGGTAGATTCAGATCAAGAAAATGAGGCTCAGAGAGCTTAAGTATCTTTCCCAAGGACGCACAGGTTAATATACACAAAGGTCGCAGTCAGATGTGTACCAAGGAAGGTTGAAAACCAGCAGCAGGCTCTTATGACAGGTGGGTCTAATCTTGGCTTTGTAATTTGCAAGATGTCTAACCTAGGACAAATCACTTTATCTCTAAGGGGCTTATTTTTCTAAGGTCTAAATAAGTAAATTGCATTAAATGATCTGTAAGATTGCTTCTAGTTCTGTTACGCCTATGTCTTGGAATCAACGGATTCCCAATAGTAAAAAGGATATAATGAATATCTTAATTGAGATAGGGTGAGCCAGAGAGGGAAAAATAACATTTAAAACAGCATATGTTTCTAGGTTGCAAAGTAGAACAGAAGCATTTTTTTGTTTTCTATTACAAGTGATTTGTAAGTGATTAAGTAAGGCTGAGGAAATGCATATTCAATTTTATTTTACTTCTTAATCCAAAGCAGACTGCAGGCTCCAGGCAGCTGCCACATTAGCATTTTGCAGGCACACATATAAGTTCAATTCCTTATAATCCTGTTTTCTCAGTGCTAAATAGTCAGTGATCATGAAGTCATGGTGTTACCACAAAGCTAAGAAAGTAATGTCATGTCAATTTACAACCTTTAGAAACACATTTCTAAATTAAATGGAAAGAATATGCTAATGCAATATTAAGGCTGCAACTTTAAAAATAGAAAGTCAAGACCTACAGAAGTTATGGTTTTCATTATCATCATTAACATGACTGCATCACATACACTGAATATATTAGTTTTTTTTTCTTACCTAACTTGTAATCCAAAGTATTGCACGTATCTAACTTAATATTATTTGGGAGAATTCTTGCCTGCATTTCATGAGTTTTGTACTTTATACTTGAATGCTTAACTTTATTTAAAAATGTATTTCATAGATACATATGCCATCAATTATTAATGTACTAATAAAAAACAAGCAACATTATATACTACTAGACCACACACAAAATTTGCATAGAGAGTGATGTCAAAATTTGTATGTACACAAGGATGTTTTTCTCCAATACAAAAGTTTTAACTGCCTAATTTTGCTTCGCAGATTGCTTATATTCTTCTAAATCTTTTCTGTCTTTCGTACTGTCTCATCTGATCATTCAGTTCCTCCTCCTTATTCCTTGGTTACCCAGCCAATTCCTCATTGTCATGTAACACGTACTCCAGTTTTTTTGCTTTTTAACCACTGTTCCCCATAAAAATTTACCTGCTCTATGTCCTGTTTCCTTGTAGTTTGTTAGATGATGAATTTCTGAGTCAGCTGAAGTAGAAACAAGACAATCAAGTCACCTGAAGTGCTTCGAAAGAATTACTAATGCCTACTGAATCAGAACTTTTAAAAATGATTTTCAGAATATGCATTTAAGAAAAAAACTCTTCGTGTTATGCCAGTGTTTTCTCTTGTTAAGAACCATTTTGCTCAGTGTTTCCATGACACTTTTATTATTACTCTTTCTGTTATTATCATTAAAGTATTAATAATCAATAATTACAATATATTGGCACTTTTCAGTTACAGTAGCATTTTCAGAATACTTTGAGGATTTTAGTCCCAGAGAATGAATAATACGCGAATTTCATTCAGGAGCAACGGAAAGTTACTTCCGAGCACAGGGACTCAAATTGATGTTCATGTGGCCAAGTACTAATGAAATTCCTCAAAGTGAGCAATTTCATTTTGAAGCCAGAAACATAACCATTATATAAATTCATGTCAGCAAATACAAAAGGACATTTAGAAACAGATCTTTACATGCTTTATATGCAGAAGGCAGATATAGTGAGAAGCAGCGTGTCAGAAACTTTGGATAACCGTTGCAGTTCTGCCTCTGTGGCATAGTGATATTGCTTAAATCATTTAAAATCACTAAGACCCAGTTTCTTTTTATACAAAAATAAGATAATTACACTAATCTCTGAGTAACTGCAAAAATGACTGATGGATACTGTGTGAAAATGTTTGGTAAACATAAATGCAATTTATTTATAAGAATATCATTGGTATACATTTAAATGTAAAGAATTGCGTATCCAAGATTTCCATTTTGTTTAATAAGTTCGTTTAATTAAATTAATCTTTTCCTCTTCATCAAAAAAATGTATTGCACCTTTTGATGAGAAAATTGTGCCTAATATTTTTTATTGAGACATCTGTGGAATAATGAAATGAGCACCAAACTTGAGTCAGAAAATTTTCATTGATACATTAACATCTCTGAAGCTCAGTTTTTGTATCTTAAAAATGTTGCAATATTTTCTCACCTAAGTTAATTGCAAGATTTGAAATAGGTAAGTTTTGTGAAGTAACCAAGTAGAGAATAAAATATTAATTAAATAAGCACAACAATGAATCTATAGTTATGAACAGGCAAATATTCCGAATGAAAGAAGTTGACTTCTAGAAGGACACTTAACAGAGAAATCTGTCCTAGTTGGGGAATTAGAAGTGACACTTGAGCCAAGATCTGAAAAACTGTACACCAGTGAGAATTTGTTTCCATCATGAGCCAAGGAGATTTCCAAAATAGTAACTTATTTGAGATTTAAGTATAATTCTTGTATTAGTCTGTTTTCACACTGCTTATAAAGATATACCCGAGATTGGGAAATTTACAAAAGAAAGAGATTTATTGGACTTACAGTTCCACGTGGCAGAAGGCAAGGAGGCGCAAGTCACATCTTATGTGGATGGCAGCAGGCAAAGAGAGAGCTTATGCAGGGCAACTCCCATTTTTAAAACCATCAGATCTTGTGAGACCCACTCACTGTCATGAGAACAGCATGGGAAAGAGCCATCCCTATAATTTAATCGTCTCACACCTGGGTTCCTCCCACAATATGTGGGAATTATGGGAGTCACAAGATGAGATTTGGGTGGGGACACACAGCCAAACCATATCAATTTTCCCTCAAATAAGAGGACTTTTTAAGTGGATAGTCTATGGCTCATTTGGTAGTAATGCTAAGGTATTCTGGGACTTCTAAAAGCCTCAGGTTGAGGCTGTCACCCACATGGTCCAAAATGCTAGCTAGAACCAAGCCATCCCAAGTACATTCAGCCAGTAATGGAAAAAGAGAAAGAAGACATAATGTTTTACTTTAAGGAGACTTCTCTATATGTTCCACAATATTTCTTACTAGATATTATTGGTCAGATTTTATTGTTAGAAGGACAGCTGATAAATATCAAATTCATACTGAGAAACGTAATGGTTATAAGGCAGGTTTCTGTTCATTGGGGCAGACTGGGACTAAATACATAGTTATCTGTCATATTTGTCAAAATGATCACAGAACAATTTTCTGAACAATTATGTGGATTATTACATAGAAAAGGTGAGAAGAAGGATTGAGAGCAGGCTAGAGAAGACATTAGGGTATGTCATAAGTGACTGTTTTAGACTCAACAATCGGAATCAGAGGGAACATAGTCAAATTCCTACTTTAAAAAGACTACTTCGCTATTTGAATAAAATATTTAATGGAGCCATCAAAGCCTGAATATCAGTTATTAGGCTATTATGGCAGCCCAGACAAGAGAGATGGTAGCCTAAGCAAGGATGGTGGCTCTATAATTTTTTGATACACTTAAGAGCTATTTAGGAGGTTAAATCTATAGAACTCAGTATTTTAACTATATTAAATATAAGGAAAGAAGAAGCGTCAAAAATGCCTTTTGTGTGTGTGTGTGTGATGGAGCCTCATTCTGTCACGCAGGCTGGAGTGCAGTGGCCGTGTTCTTGGCTCACTGCAATCACCGCCTCCCAGGTTCAAATGATCTTCCTGCCTCAGCCTCCCGAGTAGCTTGGATTGCAGGTGCCTGCCACCACGCCTGACTAATTCTTGTATTTTCTGTAGAGACGGGGTTTCACCATGTTGGCCAGGCTGGTCCCAAACTTCTGACCTCAAGTGATCTGCTTGCCTTGGCCTCCCAAAGTGCTGGGATTACAGGCATGAGGACTACGCCCAGCGAGAATGACTTCTAAGACACTGTTTCCTCTGTCTCTGTCTCTCTCTCTTTCTCTCCAATTAGACTTGGTTATATCATTAGCAAGATAAAGACTATTATAAGATAATGCATTTTTAACTTAGTGAGCTCAACATGGTACCCGTGATTTCCAAATGAGGATAATTCATTTCTTCCTAGCCTTTCAGAGTAATTCATTAACTGGTCAAGCTATCCGAATTTCAAATTCTGTCTAGTGTTAAAAACTCTTTATCATACCCCATAGACTACATGGAGGACAGTACAAAGTCCATTTTTTCTCATATTGGCAACAGTGTAGAAGTCCAGAATCAGGCTCTACTAATTGAAAGTCCATTTGATATAGTGAAGCCATTTCATAATTGCTATGTCACTATGCAAATGTTAGGCACTATTATGCCCATAATTTATTATTTAAATACTATCCATTCTAGTTATTAAATTGGTAATTTAAATTATATATTATACATAAAATATATTTTTCATTAATTAACTTATTAATGCGGTAATCACAGAATTTTCCAACTATTATACTTGTTATGTGATAAAATTGTATCTGTGGCTATGTAAAAATTATAATTTCTATCTTTAAATTCATATATAGTTATTAGCTCTAATGTATTCAAAATCTTAGGGTTTAAGGCCAGGCATGGTGGCTCATGCCTGTAATTCCAGTGCTTTGTGAAGCTGAAGTTGAAGATTGCTTGAGGGCAAGAGTTTGAAACCAGCCTTGGCAACAAAGTAAGACTCTAGTCTCTGCAAGATATGAAAAAAGAAGCCAGGTATGGTGGCATGCACCTGTAGTCCTAGTTACTTGGGAAGCTGAGGCAGAAGGATTGCTTGAGCCCAGGAGCTCAAGGCTGTAGTAAGCCGAGATCATGCCACTGCACTCCAGCCTGGGCAACAGAATGAGACTCTGTCCTCCCAAAACAGAAAATAAAAAAATAAAAAATAAATAGGGTTTATTACTCATGAATGTTCATGGTCTTGTACCAAACTGTCATGTGGAAGAAAGGACAACATAGCTCTGTGAAAATGAAGAGAGAAGAAAAGAGGAAGACAGAGAAAAGGTCAGATAATCACAATTGAAGGCACAGTGGGAGCAGGAAAAATCCAGACTGTTCTAGCAACCTTTAGAGCTTACTAGAAGGAAAGGAAACAGGAGTTTGTTTTAGAAGTGATGAAGAGATAGTTTTGTTTGATTAAAAATGGAATCCTATTCAGGAAAACTCACATGAGAAGAGACAAGATATGATGTGGGACCAGACCCCAGATAATGAAGCAGGAGTTCATATCCCAACTCATTAGGAACACTAAATGAAAAATGTCTTCTTCTTTCTGCCAGAGATCTTGGAAACCCCAGAAAAACTTTCCCTATTGATGGACCTCGCATCTACCATTAGATAAACTGCAAAAATTATAGAGGGGTCAGATGTAATTTTGGCATGATTATTTAAGGGCTCTTTCTCAACAATTTTAAATCTTCTAAGTTAAAGAGATAACCTAGGAGAACTGCAGCTACTAGATGGTTGGAAATTATGAATTTGGATGAATAAACATGATGGGTATATTACATACAAAATTGGTATGAATTATTTGAAGATTTAAAAGTTTCAGCTGGTTTGGTTTCAGTGATACTACACCACAACTCAAGACACTATTATCTCAAGTCCATGGTTCTAGCAATTATTTTCTTTCTTCTCCACAAAACAATGCTTACCTTGTTTCTGGACGGTTTATTTGCTCTTGCAAGGTTCCCACTTAATTACATCTGCTAAACCCAATGGCAAATACTTAGTCCTCATGTTCTTAGAAGAATGATTTGTGATACTGTTTTCCATTCATTTTTTGTTGTTTTAGGAAATCACTTTGTCGTGTTTCTTTTTTCCTACAACATGAGCCATTCTTTTTTTTTCTTCCTTTAGATGGCTCTGTCCCAGACCGAGAGGTTAAGAGACATTGAAGACTTTCAGTGCTTAGTCATTAGATTATTCCTGTTCTCTGTGCTACCTCACTTCCTTGACATAGAATACCATCATGGATGACTTCTACATTTATTGCTCCAGACCTTTCCTTAAACTCCAGATTTGTGTATTCAATTGTCTGCATAACCTCACTACTTGAATGTATAATAGACATCTCAAAATGGATACTTCCAAAATCAAACTCAAAATCAAAGTCAAATAATTTTCCTTCCAGATTTTTATCTCCTCCTGTTAGACTTCCCCATTTCTGTAAATGGCAACTCCACATGTCCAGTTGAGAGTTGTGCAAGCCAAAAGCCTTGGAGTCATTATTAGCTTCTCTTTTTCTTACACATCATTTCCAGTGTGTCAGCAAATTGTTATGATTCTACATTCAAAATATTTTAGATTCTAATCATTTCCCACCACCTCCACCACTACAACCCTTGGTTAGATGCCATCACTTCTCTGTATCTTTGCAATAAAATTCTAATTGGTCCCTGAGCTTCCACCTTTGACCTGCCTGCCACCACTCAGTATGTTTCCATCACAGTAATCCCAAATCAGATTCTGTCACTCCTCTGCTTAAATTCTTCAGTGACTTCCATTTTTTTTCAGAGTCTAAACTCTCACAATTTACAGAATTTGACCTGATCTTGGCCCTTGTTTTTACCTTGACCACATCTTATACTTTTATTCTACTATCTAGCTATGTTTGGTCAACTCTGACCTTCCCACTGTAAATCAATCCAGGTCTTGAACAGGTCAAGGACCAGGTTTGTTTCCCACCTTAGGGCATTTGCAACTCCCAGTCCCACTGTCTGGAACATCTTACCATGGATTCTTCATGGAAATAAACCTTATTCCAAGCTTTTTTTCTGGTGCCACCTTCTCAGTGAGAGCTTAAGATCCTGTTTAAAAGCGGTATCTTCACTACTCAATACTTCTGGTCCCTTCCTTGCTTAATTTTCCTTAACACATCACCACCTGACTCTCTAAATATGCTATTTATTTATTTGTTTATTTTTGTCCCTCTCCACTATATAATGTCTATATAGTGTCAGAAGATGGAATAGTGTCTCGCACATGGTTGACACCCAGTAAATATTTGTTGAATGAGTGAATAAATGAATGAGTTAACCAATGAGACATTTAACGAAATAGGGCTATTGCTATCACATCTGAAGCAGATAAGGTGGAAAAGCCAGAAAGCAGGATCTGTTTGTTTTCATGAAAATCACTTTTATGTGTTTCTCTTCAAGTAAGGGTTTTGTTCTCACACAAAATCTTGGTGTTATGCATGTCTATGGTTCATCGAAAGATTTGGAACAGGCTGTGTGGGATTAGTCAGTCAATCAGACTGAAGAGGAGCTCTGGTAAGTACATAGTTACGTGTCTGGAATGTGTAGCCTATACAGAGAGAAGGAAAAAAATGTATATATGAAAAGTGAAGGAACTTTCTACAGTGGCCAAGTTGTCACAGTCCAGAGGCCTGGGGGCTGTTTTTCATGAAAAGACCAAAACAAAGTGCAGGATGCTACACAAATAAAGAAAATGAATTCAGCAAAGTCATATAATACATGTACATGAAACAAAAGCACAAAGTCAAAGAAATTCTATAGAGTTCAGAGACTAAGATTAACATCAAAAGCAGCAGCAGCAGTCAACTTTGTAGAGAACTATATGAAAACAGGACAAGATCTTAAACTGGAATGGCTGATCTTGGGGAGAAAAATCAGAGAATCTTGAAGTCCCTGCTATGTTGTAATATATTAAAACACTATCGATTATGTAACCGTACATGAAGTGAACAGGAAAGGAAAGTAAAAAGACAGAAACAAGACCTACAACTAAGAAATGGTATAGACTCAACTAGCAACTAAAACAAACAAACAAACAAACAAACAAAAAACTAGCAACTCTAGGCTGGGCACCATAGCTCATACCTGTGATCCTAGCACATTTGGAGGCCAAGGCAGGAGGATCACTTCAGCCCAGGATTTCAAGACCAGTCTCAGTAACAGAGTGAGACCTCATCTCCACACACACACACACACACACACACACACACACACACACACACACACACACACAAAATTAGCCAGGTGTGGGGCTGTGCACCTGTAGTCCTAGCTATTCAGGAGCCTAATGTGGGAGGATTGCTTGAACCCAGGAAATTATAGCTGCAGTGAGCTGTCATCACACCACTGTACTCCAGCCTGGGTGACAGAGTGAGACCTTGTCTTAAAAAAAAGAGAACGAAACCTAGCATCTTTAGAGACAGGAGAAATAAGTGTCATTAATGCAAATGGTGTTTATATCTATAATTAATTGGAAAAATGTATACAGATTTACTTTACAGTAAATTTTAGTTAGAATAATGTCTTCACAACCAAATAATTTAAATCATATTAAAAATAAGTACTGTGTGACATTTAGCAAATTTACCTTTTTGTGACTAATTTCATTCATCTATAAAATGGGTATTATGAGCTTTAATAATCTTTTCAATTCTAATATTATATAATTATTTAATGTAAATAAAGATTATTAGCTGTCTGAAATATGTACTTTGGAGTAGAAAATAATCCATTAATATGCATTTAAATACCCAAATTGTGCCAGAAACTGAAAGTATAAGTTGAAGTAAAATATGATGTTATTTAAATAGAAACAACTATGGGGACAGGGTTATAAACATAAATACACACAGAGATATACACACATAATATATACAAATGTATTTACATTCCTGTAAAACATGGAAATGCATATATCTGTGCCTTTATATATTAAGCATTATATACCTTCATATAATAAACAGTAATTGTATTCATTACACTTACTGAAATATAAATTGAAATTTAATGGCTGGGCTGCTGGTTGGCCAGGTGCAGTGACTCACGCCTGTAATCCCAACACTTCGGGGGGCCAAGGGAGGTAGATCACTTGAGGTCAGGACTTTCAGACCAGCCTGGCCAACATGGTGAAACCCCATCTCTACTAAAAATACAAAAATTAGCCGGGCAAAGGGGTGCACACCTGCAATCTCAGCTACTTGAGAGTTTGAGGCAGGAGAATTGCTCGAACCTGGGAGGCAGAGGTTACAGTGAGCCAAGATCGTGCCACTGCACTCCAGCCTGAGCGATAAAGCGAGACTCCCTCTCAAAAGTAAAAAATAAATAAATAAAAAATAAACAAAAACAAACATAAAAAACAACAAAAAAAGAAATTTAACTAGTTTTACCTAGTTCATATAGATATTTCTAAAGAGTTAATGTAATTTTATGGTTACATTTACCCCACTCCTACAACTCAGGATGATGCCATATGATCCATATGCCCAAAGGCTGTATCAAAGGATAAAATAGGATTATTTCTAATTTAATTTAGACAGTCACATCACAATAATTTCCACACTTGCCTCAGTTTGGGTGCTGTTCATATTGTGTTTAATTTCATGTTGCTACATTCTCTTTGAGACATAAGTGTTACAGATATCTTCTGTAGTAATGTAGCCAAATAAGATTTTGTGGTGATGGTAGTTTGTGTGTGTTCCTGTGTATGTGTGTGTTGGGTGTAAGTGACTTTAGATAGAACTCATATCCTTCAAACATTGAAAAGTCAACCACTATTTTTATTCAGTTTGCGTTTTTGTATTATGTTTTAGTTACTGTATTCAAAATATTATATTCTCTCTATATCTCCCTGAACAGCATATTTTATTATAGGTATCCTTACCTTTAAGTAGTAATAAATGTTTTCGACCTAGTAAGTTCCTGTTCTGTGTGGGAAACACGGGAGGGAGAAGAAAAGACACACACACACTACCTTAAAGGGTAAAAAACCTTTATCCCATGTAAATGGCAATGCAGATGTAATGAGCAAATGATATAATAAGCAGATTGATATAATAAGCAAATGATATAATAATAAGCAGATGATACAGTAAGCAGATTGATATGATAAGCAAATTGCAATGGGAAAGGGAGAAGGGAAAAGATATTTACACTCACCAGACTATGGAGGATTCACCACCAGACTGGGAAGCAACAGTCTCGGCTCCAGAGTTGGCCACTCATGTCTGTGCACAGGCGAGGAGAGGTCTCATGAAGTTTCGGCGCAGTCTGGGACCCTAACTCTTTTTGTAATGAGTTGTTTCGCATAAGGTCCAGTCAAGAGGGCTCTTTGTGACTGGGCTCAAGGAACACAAAAAGGTCAACTTGTTTTTGTGATTGTCTATTGTTTTCCGATAACTAACATATAGGAATAGATTGAAATAGAGATTTCTCTGAAACAGTGCTGGATGAATGCCTCAAGGAGCTCACACAACCTGTTTCGGGACTTGGTGACTGTTGTTTGTGTCCATGTTCAATTGAGTTCAAATTTAATATTTAACTTTCCCTTCACAGTCGGCCTCCATCTGATACTCAATTGTAGGAAAATACCCTTACAGATACATAGGGAAGGCATAGTCGATATAGATTACAGATACGGGGTAAGCACAGGAGAATTAGAAGCACAATTAATAAAATACCACACCCACCATGGCTTTGCAAGGAGAGTCATATTGTGAGAATTGCCAGTGATATACACATAAGATTCAATATGCAGTAAATCACAAACCCCTCCTTGGGCTGCGGTACGCATATCTAATGCCATTCGATTTTGCAACATAACAGTACGCAGCTGAGCAAATTCATCTTATAACAACGTAAGTCCAGTGCTACTATCATTAAGAGCTTTTTGTACGTGTAAGCTCAATATTTTAATTTGTTGCTGAAGCAGGATTGTACCGGTGGCAGGGGAGAATACTGTGATGGGGTACCACCACCAGGGGGTCTGGTGCATTCATAATCAGTGATGTTTGTAAGCATCTAGATTACTGGGGAGGGGACTATTATCCTGGATGTTGAATGTAATTAATGGCCACCCTGAAGTGCATCTCCCCGTCCAAGTGGGGGCAGGTATTGCCACCCGTAGGATCCACGTGCCCAGAGGGCGCCCAGGGAACAGGAAGAGTTCTACTATAATTGTATTGCTGTCATGTGTAATTTAAGTAACAAAGGTGCTGTGTCTCATTTGGGTTTGGGCAAAATAGACTGTTTGGTTAAAAGAAGTCCAGGTTGGATTACAAGTGTTATTATCCCACCCCCATTGGTATTGGCATATCCATCCAGAAATGTTAGCAGGGATGATTCTCCAAGGTAGCCCATTCCTGGGGGCCTCCCGCGGCAACTCCACACATAGCCAGTACCGACTGCAGTTGGCTTGCGTTGCAACGGTGGCTACCCAGTTGATGAACTCATTCTCAGCCTAAGACATGATGACCCAGGTACTGATTACTAGCAGACAGGTTATTCTCTGTAATAACAAAAATGGAGGGGAGGATGCATTATTTTTCTTCGTTAGGAAATAGTACTATGCCTTCATTTTCTGCCCCTATAGCTACAAGGTCACAAGCCTTAGGGGCAGGATCTGATGGACACTGTACCCATATTTTGGCTCCAAGATTTAAGTTGCCCCCTTTGGTGGACCTGAATTCTCCGGTTCTGTATGTTATTTCTATTGGGGCAGAAATTTCCTTGGGGGTTAATTGTTGACAAGGTACCACTAACAATTGAGCAACCCGCATCTGAGGTTATATAGCAAAAGAATCTGGAGTGGTATTATATAAAATGACCTTTAACTCTCCCTGGTAATCACTATCAATTATATCACCATACATTATGATGCCTCTCATTGCAAGACTTAAACTTATTGTAATCCACTCATCCACATTCAAGTTTGCAGTTATGGTGGGAATTTTGCCCTGTTGATCTGCCCGCTGATTAAATAGTCTGTCAAGAGAAAGCCGAAGATGCATGAGCATCAACATGGAAAACAGTGACAATGGCAGTGTGAGGATATTGCTTTTTCCCATTAATTTTTCATATTTTAATACTATTAGTTTGAAAATGAGCATTTGATATGGCAAAGTATACGTAGAGTGTCAAATTGAAGTAAATGCTGCTTTCATTATTTTATCACAAAGCTACTCGACAATAAAGAGGAATGAAGCACTATTGAATGTTGTACCTCACAGTCATGCTCTGTAGGAATGCTTTGTTCATTAAAGTAATAGTTCCAGTAAAGATTCCTCTGGGGATTAGCTGGCAGAGTGGCTTTATACACAGGCATTTTTTTTTCATAACAATTCACTAATAAATTATGGATAAAAATACAGCTACCCAAAGTGGGTAACATCTTAGAGGAGCTCTGCAATGCTGTGACATGGTGAGTGTATCAAGAACATTCTCTTGTTTTTTTCTATTGCCAGATGTCTAGAGTCCCTCCATCCTCTGGGCATCATCCAAGAAGTCTGGGCCAAAGAAAAAGAAAAATTAGAAATCAAAGATAAAATGTTTACTCTCTAATAAGTTCCAGTTTTTAACGTACTCGGGCTCCTTTATTTAGTCGTCAAGCCAGTATATACCAATAACATTGTAACAGTTTGCTTCAGTAATAAAAATCTATTACAGCATACAGTGGTAACATGTGTTCTAACATGTAATTCCTGACGTTGAGCTTCACTGTGTAATGAAATATTAACATAATTTAAAATATAATATGCAATCAAGAAGATGCTAAAAGGATAGTAGATAGCATTAAAATAAACTAATCATTAATAGTTTATTAGTAGATAATGGGGTAGATTATGTGATATATATAAATAAACATCTGTCATAGGACCTGTCACATAGAAGCCACTCAAATATTTTGTTGAATCAATGACTGCTTAGACTCCTAGCTGACCATTTTTCTTATTTAGTCATGGTGATTACATTCAATTTTGGTTACTATATTCAAAAGGTTTTAATCTCACCAATATTATCTACTGGAAACTAACCTTTCACTAAAGATGTCCTTAGGCTTCTAGAAGCAACACCATAACATTTTCTCATCTTCCTGCTTATCAGGCAGTGATGAAATTTCCTCTGATACTGTCTATTGAAGAGAAATTTTAAAAGAATACATGAAACTTAATTCAGAATTTCAAGGACTCCAAACCATTCTGTAGAAATTATTTCAGAAACCAGATAGAAGTTATTCCTCTAAGTGACATTCCACTGAAGTGATTTTTGCAGAGATCATTATAACTATTGTTGCTGCTGAGTCAGATGACTCTTTTCAGTCTGTAGGCAACTCAAACCCATGGTACATTGGTCACCATTAATCATCCACTCCTCTCCTCTTAAAATTATCTCCTTTCTTAGTTTCATGGTATTTGTTTCTCTGGTGTTTCTCTTATGTCTGGGTATTTCTTTTTACCTTCCTGGCAAAATTGTCTTCTCTTAATGACCCCTAAAGTGCTGGTATTCTCCAAAGCTCTATCCTCGGTTTTCTTCTCTTCCTTGACATACCATTTGCTCAGGTAATCTCATTTACTCCTTTGGTTTAATGGCCCACCAATATATAGATAGCTCTGAAACTGGCTAGTCCAACCTAACTGCGTAAACTCCACACCCATGTAGCTAACTTCTTACTAGATATTTATTTGCTGGTTTCATTTAAAATTCCATGTCTAAAGTTTAACTCAATATCTTAACCTTAAAATTTGTTTCTGTATTTTAATAGTTTAATTACCCATTCTGTTGCCCGTGTCAGTTAAACAATGTTATCCTGTTCCTTATTCACATATCTAATAGATGAATGAAGACTTACAAATTTTACTTATCTGATATTTCTTGAACCTGTCCATGCAGCATTGTATTCATTCTCATTGCCTCCACTCTGGCTGTCATTATGGTTTGCTTGGTCTGTTAAAATATACACTGTTTTCCTAATCTCAATTTTTTAACTTCTAATTCATTCTACTTCCACCATAGTGAAGTTTTTAAAAGTATTTGTCACCCCCTTAGAAAAATTCAAGATAAAATTTTACTTCTTCATTATGGATGTGAATACTCTTCTTTGCTTATCTGTGCTCTTGGCATCTCCCCCACATACCTTTTGCTCATTATACTATGTCTCTACTTAACTACTGACAGTACTTGAGTGTGCCATGTTCTCTTACAATTTTATGAACTCACAGCTGCTACTCCCTCTGCTCAGAAAGCCTCCTGCTCTCACCACTTAACTTGGCAAATTTCTCAATCCTCTTGAAAATTTAAGTCAGATGTAACTGCTATGGGAAATCTTCTCCAATCCTGCCAGCTTTCTTCCTCCAGGCAGCCATCCTTCATACCCATATAAAATCTTTTCTCTTATTGCAACATTTTATATAGTGAGTGTTTTAACATATTTGCCCTCTAGCTTATTATCTAGCACTTGAAATAGTCAATAGCCATTATGGAATCTTACTTAATAAGTGTCATATCATATAATTCCATGATTATCAAGAAGTGCAAAGAAAATGATTTAAAATGGCACACTGCCATACAGCTTGAAGTGTATTACTTTGCTTAGAAACAATGAACATCTGATTTTTTTGTGTGTGTAATGATGGAAAATAAAGTAGCTGGTTGGAAAATAATATCCCAGCCCTATACCTAAAAATAGCAGTGGCTAGAATAAATGAAATTTAACACTGTAAATTTTAAAAGTGATATTTTTAGAAAACTCATTGATAAAAGACTAGTCATTGGTTTTGAAATTCTTCTTGATCGTGTATAACGTTTAAATAATCAAACCTATTAAATAAATCAATTCCAGATGATAAAGAAACTTGAACTGAAGTTAGACATAAATTAGATGCTTAAATACATACACCTAAGAAAATACAAAAGAAGAAAAAGAAAAAAATAATATGAATGGAGAAACCAAGTTGCCCCATCTTTTATTTTGGAGAACACAGAAAAAAAGCCAAAAATTCAAGAAAGAAAATATCAACAAGAACAGAAAAAAAGGAAAAGACTTTCTTTTTCAGGTAATATTTGGAAGGATATTGTGTAGAGAGGGTGAGCATAGGAAGAGATGAGGTGCCATGAGACTTATATGAATAGGCTGATTAGGGTGAATCGATAACTAAAGATTTTTTTTATTCATTCACTTAACAAATATTTATTGAGTATCTATAGTGGGAGTGGATCACAAAAACACCTAAAATTAAACTTGTAAATGATAGGTTAAGAAGTAATCTCGATTGGGTGAATCAATGATAGTTAAGAAAATGATTACTAAAATAGACTAATTCCTTAAAAAATAAAATATCTTGATTTCTTTGAACTCAGAGTTAATGGCCTATTCTTTTTTAGAAGATAATTGCCTTTAGGTACAAAACAATATACAGTGAAATCCTCAAAAGTTTTTTTTCCCTATGACCTTAATTAAGATCTGCATTGAACTTTTTTTTACCCTTTGTCTACTATATTTTTAAGGAAATAAATGCACTAAATCTGAACTAAAAAGTTTCAATAACTAGACAATGTGAGCTAATGATTTAAATTTTGTACTTAGTTGGAGCTGAAAGTGTATATTTTTCTCTTTGGTGAAAAAAGGAGGGGAAATAAAATAAAGAGAAATGTTATCACAATTTTAAAATAACCCATCAAAATAACCCATCAAAATAACGGAGAGGAAATAAAATAAAGAGAAATGTTATCACAATTTAAAAATAACCCATCAAAATTAAGGAGAGGAAATAAAATAAAGAGAAATGTTATCACAATTTAAAAATAACCCATCAAAATTAAGGAGAGGAAATAAAATAAAGAGAAATGTTATCACAATTTAAAAATAACCCATCAAAATAAAGGTTTATGAATATATCAAAAATAGCTTCTGCAGATGGAGAACCATGTTACATATTCTTTTAAAGCAACAGATGGGAGAAAATAGAAATTTTTCTTAGAGATAATTATATAAAAATAAAATCTAGTTTGCAACATAAATTTCTACCTATGTGTCCTATGAAGCAAAATTTATTGTAGATTTTTCTCTGATTTTATTCCATTATGAACCACAGAAGGAGGAAGAGTTCCATTACTCAAGGTTTCTAAAAACACAATAGAGAGAAATACTTTTCTACTTTAAACCCTCATTCACATTATAGCACTCATACCTTGTAGAGTTAGATTGCAGTAATGTTCACTGACATTCTAAAGTTTTTATATCAGCTCTGCTTTTATTGGGCACAGTATTTTCTGTTTATTGGTAATTTGTGGTTGCATTTTAAAAATACTGTTCTGTTGATAAGCTTTCATGATTTCTTAATGTAAAATTGAACTGGGTTTTTGTATACTTTGCCTGCAGCATCTAGATTTCTCTAAGAAAGTTTTTTATTTTAATTCAAATTGAGTTTTTGCCAATCTCATATACCACTGTAAGAGAATGGTTAATGTGACTTTTTCTACTATGATGGCATTATCTTCAAGAACACAAAGTTAAAGAAAAAAATGCTTTTCAGTACCCACATTCTCTAAGGAGATAACATTGACAATGGGACAGATTCTTTTCTTAGAAAAGTGACCACTTTCTCAATCTGTAAAATAAGACCAGAGGGAAGGCAAGAGATCAAGTGACAGGGATACCTAAAAGTATTACTTATTAAAAGAGGGGATGGCTGAAAGGAGAAGCCTGGAATCTTAATTCCTGCAAGAGTAGCTGATTGCCCTTGTTGATCTTCCTTGAGGCTGAGAATGGAAAAAGAGAATAGTAGAGAGAGGGCAAAGTAGATAGAGAAATGAGGGTTGAGCAGCCAGTTCTCAAACATTTCCTGTGAGTCAAATGGACAATGAGAGCTATCTTGCCTGATCTAAGAGGGTTGAGTGTTAATGGAGGAATTCCCAGAGGCAACTGAACAGGAAGTACCTGGAGGTACTGAGATGTTCAGGAGCATCTCACCAGGCTTTCTCTCCAAAATTCTACGTGTATCCAGTGATAAATCCAGCATTTTGATTCATTCTATAGAGAGGCACTGGTCAGTAAGAAACAAAGAAGCAGCAGACAACCAGGAGAGAGAAAATTACAATCAAAGATGGTGAAGTAATGAAAAATGTACCTTCTTCTCTTATAACCCCAGGCAGCACTTAACATAAAGAGAAGTCTGCGAAATAAAGGAAAGCAGTGGCACCCTAGATGTATAACCCTGCCCATCTACTGGGGTTTTGGAGTCGGATACATGTTATTTTAATACAAATTACAATTTACAAATTAATACAAATTACAATTTGTTATATTAATACAAATTACAATTTGTATTAAAATAACATGTCTCCTTCCATGTATCTTAACATGAATTAAAATAACAAATTGAGATATGTTATTTTAATACAAATTTAATATCAATGTTTTAACTACTTCAATTTTATGTATTCTTATGATGAATATCTTGAGTTTTACTTTTTAATTTTATGTTCTACCAAAAATGGTTTCAAATGAACTTATCCAATATTACTACAAACTATATGTATGAAGATCTGATTAAATACACAACTTTTGTCATTATGAAAATACTGTGCTTTCAATCACTTAAAGCAATTTTTGTGTGATATCACTATGCTAATATTTAAATTGGTGAGTTGTTTATAGTTTTTTGGGACTTTTTACCTTAATTTTATTTATAATTATGTAAAACATTATTAAATACAAAACATCTGAGAGTCAGAAACCACATAGCATTATACATTTAAGAAAGTCTTAATCCATCCTTGAACACTTCTTTTTTGATCACTTTTTGACTTTTCCTTCCAGTGGTTACTATTATAAATATAAACAAATGCATGAGCAAATGAAAATATACATATTCATATTTTCTTCTCTTGTACAAAACTTGGCATATAGTAACACCATTCTGCACTTTTTATTTTCATTTTAACACATATATATTCTGAAGATGACTTTATTTTTGTATTAAAAATTATTCTTTTTATAGGTGATTAGTTATATATCATACAGGCATATGACAGTATGTCCAACTAGTCCTTTGATGGTATAAGGTTGGGTTAATTCTTTATTTTTATTATTGCAAATAATGGTGGAATAAATAAACATGTATATATGTCACTTCCTATTTTGGCAGTCTAACTTTCATATGGATTCCTAGAAGTAACATTGTTGATTCAAAGGTGACTGAATATGTAATTTTGCTAGTGGTGTCCAAGTCCCTTTCCAATTTCAATCTCACCATCTGTGTACGAGAATGTCCCTTTCATCACAGTCTTGCCAACAGAACATGTTGTCAGAACTTTTATGTTTTGCCAATCTGATAGGTGAGAAATGAGCTCTCAGTGTATAGAAACAGAGAAATTCTCCAAGAGTGAGATTGAGCAACTTTCATGTTTACAATCTGCAATTATTCAAAACATGATTTTAATGTTTCTTATATCCCACTATATGAAAGGAACACGATTTATTTAATATTTTTATTTCTTTTTATTTATAACCATTAAGAATTTTAAAGGAGCATGTATTATTTGGTCTGATATTAAATACGTTCTCATGCTTATGCTCGTTAGTATTTTTACTAATTTCTTTATGTTTAATTGACAAAAAAAATTTATTGGATAAAACATATTGTCTTGAAATATGTATACATTGTGGTATGTCTTAATTGAGTTAATTAGCATATGCATTAACAGACATACTTCTATTTCTACATTCTTAGCAGTTTTCTACTCTCTTAGGAATTTTCAAGAATATAATACATTTTTATTAACTATCATCATCATGTTGTACAATAGATCTCTTGAAATTATTCCCCCTTTTTAATTGAAACTTTCGAACTTTGAACATTTCCCCAACCACTTCCCTCCCTCAACCCTTGATTCTACTCTCTCCTTCTGTGATTTTTGACTTTTGTAGGTTCCACACATAAGTGAAATCAAGTGGTATTCATCTTTCTGTGCTTAGCTTATTTAACTTAAAACAATGTCCTCCCAGTTCAACCATGTTACACAAATAACAGGATTTCTTTCTTAGGCTTTGGAGTGGAGTGAATAATATTCCATAGTGTGTGTGTGTATACATAAATATACATTTATACATATATATACACGTACATATATATTTATACTACATTTCTGTGTTTATTTATCGTTTGATAGATTCTTAGGCTCTTTCCATATCTTGACTATTGTGACTAATGTTGCAATGAGCATGGGAGTGAAGATATGTCTTCAACATAATGATTTATCTCTTTTAAAAATGAGTGGGATTGCTTGGTCATATGGCACTTCTATTTTTAATGTATTTGAAGAACCTCTGTGTAGTATTTTATATTGACTGTTCTAATTTAAATTCCTACCAACACTATGCAAAGGTTTCCATTTCTCCATATCCGTGTCAACACTTATTATCTTTCTTCTTTTTAATAATTGCCATTCTGTTGAGTGTTAAGTGACGTGGTGGTGTTGATTTACATTTCACTGATGATTAGTTACATTTCTATGATGATTAGTTATTAGTTTACATTTCTCTGATGATTGAACATTTTTTCATATACAGGTTGAATGTCTTCTTTTGAAAAATATGTATTCTAGTCCACATTTTAATTAGGCTATTCATTTTTTGCTGTTGAGTTTTTTGAGTTTTTAATATATTTTAGGTGTTAACCCCTTATCATATGTATGGTTTGCACATATTTTCTCTCATTTTATAGGTTGTCCCTTTACTCTATTGATTGTTCCTTTGGCTGTGCAAAAGATTTTTAGTTTGATGTAATCCCATTTTTCTATTTTTACTTTTGTTGTCTCTGCTTTTTTATTCCTATCCAAAAAAATATTGTCTAGACCAATGTCATGAAACTTTTCCCTGTATTTTTCTAGTAGTTTTATAGTTTCAAGTCTTACATTTGAATTTTAACTTATTTGAGTTGATTTTTGTATGTAGTATTAGATACTGATCTAATTGTATTGTTATGATATCCAGCTGTCCCAACATCATTTATTGAAGAGACTGTCCTGTTCCATTTTGCACTGTTGGCACCTTTGTCAAAAATCAATTGCCCATAAACACATGGATTTATTTCTGGGGTTTCTATTCTGTTCTATTGTTCTATGATTGTGTTTATATGGCAGTACCAGGCTGTTTTGGTTACTATAGCCTTGTAGTATATTTTGACATCAGGAGGTGTGATGCCTCTAGCTTATTTATTTATTTATTTTTCAAGATTGCTTTGTCTATTTAGGGTCTTTTGTAGTTCTATACAAACTGTAAGATTTTTTTCTATTTCTGCAAATAATGTTATTAGCATTTTGAAAGAGATTACATTGAATTTGTAGATATCTTTGGGTAGTATGAACATTTTCATATTATTAATTATTGCAATTCATGAACACAGAATGTATTTCCATTTATTTGTTTCTTCTTCTATTTTTGTTCACCAATGTTTTGTAGTTTTTTTTAGTGTAGAGGTCTTAAATTCATGCCTGAGTATTTGATTTTTTTGGTTAGTATTGTAAATGGGATTGTTTTCTTGATTTCTTTTTCAGAGAGTTCAATGTTAGTGGATAGAAATGATACTGATTTTTATATTTTCGTTTTATATCCTGCAACTTTACTGAATTTGTTACTTTTATTTTTTTGGTTTTTGGTGGAGTCTTTAGGGATTTCTATATATTATATCATGTAATCTGTATTTTTTTTCTCTTGCCTAACTCCTCAAGCTAGAACATCTAGGATTATGTTGAATAGAAGTAGTGAGAATGGGCATCCTTGTCTTGTTTCTGGTCTTAGAGGGATAGCTTTCACCTTTTCACTGTTCAGAAGGATGTTAGCTGTGTTTACCATATATATTGTCTTTATTGTGTTGAGGTACATTCCTTCTAAATCTAATGTTTAAGGGTGTTTATCATAAAAGGATGTTGATTTTGTCAAATGCCTTTCCTTCATCTATTGAGATAAACATATCTTTTTGTTTCTTCATTCTGTTGATGTGTGTACCATATTTATAGATTTGCCTGTGTTTAACGATCCTTGCTTACCGGAAATAAATTTCACTTGATCATGGTGAATAATCTTTTAAATGTACTGTTAAATTCAGTGAGATAGTATTTTGTTGAGGTTTTTTTCACCTGTGTTCATCAGGAATATTGGCCTATAATTTTTTTGTAGTTTTGTCTGGCTTTGGAATCAGGGTAATGATGACCTGGTAAAATGAGTTTGGAAATATTATCTTTCCTTCAATTTCTTGGAAGAGTTTGAGAGAGAGTGGTATTAGGAGTAGGAAAGATTAAGTGAAAGGAAACATCTGACTTAAACTACACTTTAGACCAAGTGGAATTAGCAGACATACACAGGGCATACCATACAACCCCTGGAGAATCTTCTTAAGTGCGCACAGAACATTCTCCAAGATAAATAGTATTTTAGGCCATGCAATAAAATGTTACAATTTTATGAAGATTGAAATTATATCAAGTATCTTTCCTGATGACAATATGAAACTAGAAATCAATAATAGAAGGAATTTGAGAAAATTCACAAATACATCACAATTAAACAACATGTTTCTGAAAAACCAATGAGTCGATAAAGAATTAAGAGATAAATTTAAAAATATCCTGAGACAATAAAAAATGGACACACAATATACCACAACTTAAAGAATAGAGCAAAAGCAGCTTTAAGAGAGAAGTTTATAGCAATAAATGTCCACATTAAAAAAGAAGATCTCAAACAACTTAACATTTTCCTCAAGTCACTAGAAGCAGCAAGAATAAGTTAAGCCCAAAGTTAGATGAAGGAAAAAATAATAAAGATTAGAGCAGAAATAAATGAAACAGAAACTATAAAAATAATACAAAAGATCAACTAACTTGAGTTGTATTTTTTTAAAAAGATAAAATTGAAATACCAGAATGAAGAATAAAAACCACATGATCATCTCAATAGATGAAGAAACGTCATTTGTAAAAGTCAGCATGCTTTAATGTTAATGGATGGACTAGTTATGACTAACAAAAGAAAGAAGACAAATAAAATCTGAATTGAAAAAAAAATTACAATGGAAACCACAGAAATACAAATAATTGTAAGAGACTACTGTGAATAGTTATATGCCAACAAATTGGATAACCTAGAAAAACTGGATAAAATGCCTAGACACAGGCAACCTACCAAGACTTAATCACATTGAAATATTTAATATTCAGATTGTTTAACTATAAGGTAAACAGCCAATCATGTAGGCTACTTTTCTTTATTTTTTTCTTTTTTCCTATGTTTTTCTTCAAGTTGATTAATGGAAAAGTCAATTGCAAAATTAGAAAAACAATATATAAGTAAGTAGTAGATAGTAGATATGTCACCATACTTAAATGTATAAAAATATATTTGAATAACATTAGATACTAGAATTATAATTTGTAATTATCTTACAATTTCCTTTTGAAAATTTCAAAAAATTAAATATCTGTCATTCAGACTTAAAGAATTAGTATCTACACCATGAATTTAATATACTGAACATGCTACAAACAAAACCAACTTTCTGAAGCTTAGCTAAAACATGCTTATTTAAATCTACTGTATGGAAATATTATATTTAAAAAGAACATTCCCTAGTTGTATGAACACTGAAAACAGAAATGACAGATTTTTACTTACTGTTATATTTGTTTTTCTCGGGACTTTAGTTAAAAGTAATATTAAGTTGCATCTGCTGTCAACAGATGCCCATATAACAGCACCAAAATGCTAACTCCAACATAAATGACCATCTCCATATGTTGCTGGCATTTTTTTGGCATTTGTGTATTGTACATAATCACAGGCTATGAGTAACACTTGAGAAAAACAAAGTGATAATCTCATTATGAAGGTTCAAGATCTATTCAAAGCTAAGTAGAGCTTCTTGTTTCTCTTAAATGTATTTATTAGTACATAAGCATAAACTTAAATCATGAAATGATCATTTTTCAAAATGTTTGCTACAGATTTACTGTAAATGGAGATTTTTATCAAATTCACGTTTCTTATCACTATGACAGGGGATAATATACAAAGCTCTATCTTCACTATAAAAATGAAATTTTGGATAATATACAATTGTTAATACATAGCAAATTTGAAAAATAAGAAAGAAAAAGCCACAGCAACCAAAAATAAAGTGAGAATGTAAAACAAGAATGGAGAGTCGAAGTTGAAACTGAATGACCTACATGAGCATGGGAATTGTGCACTGTGTGCTGTCTAGGACTCATGATCCAAAATTATGTGGGGATAGTAATCAAGGACCCTGGCCTTATGTGCAGCAGATAGGCACAGTTGTCTTGTTGATAAATCCAAGAATTGAGAAAGGATGACCCATCTCCATATAGGATTAGAAACATTCTTCTTCCTAGATTGGGAATGCAGTATGGTAACATGTCCTTCACTTGAGCTGTTCACCTGGGCTTTCAATGATAAAAGAGCCATAATTTAAAAGTGGAAACCCTTATACTATACACAGGTATTGGGACTTTTCGCACTCATTTACAATGCTCAAATCCTGAGATGAAAAAACAACCCATGGGCAACCCAGGAGACCGTTTCACAGGCAGATATAAATACAAATTTAAATGCAAAGCCATTTCAGGGGAATTACATTAGAATCTATGGCATCAAACTACCCTTTGGAAACAACTTCTGTAGAAGGTAAGCTCATCATTCAAAAATTTTTGTAATCAGACACCTTGAGGAAAAGTCAGAAGACACAAACAAAAGCATTCATATTCATAAGAGGTAAAGAAAACAGATCATTCTCAAGAAAATGTTTTAAATGACTGTGTTTTAAAATGAATAGAGAACATGGTAAGAACAGAATCAATAACGTAATAAAAAGAAAATCTGGCAAAGGAACAAGCTAGTTTTTAGAAAATGTAATTTTAAAATAAGATACTTCTTTAGCATTGGATAGAAATGCTGAATACTAGTCTATTTAGAGCTGAATTTACAGAGAATTCATAAATGAAAAATAGATTTGAGGAAATCCTCCAAAGCATAGATAAATTTTTTCAGAATATAAAATTAAAATTAGGAAACAAGAACAATTAAATGAAGGTTTATAATTAATGTTTAATAGGAGTTCTGAAGAGGTGATTTCAAAGAGATAAAAGTAGCACATTTTTAGGAATAAAGAGAGACATTAGACCACAAAGATGAGATAAAAACCTTAAAACTGTGAGAATGAAAATGCAAATTACCTGTAATAGGTTGCAATAAGATACACAGCACATATTTTCATGTAACAAAAAAGAAAACAATGAAATATTATCCCAAAAAGCTGAATGTAAATATTATCCCCAAAAGCTGAAGTTCTCTAATATAATAATTTGATTATGAGAACCTAGATCTGGAAAGTAAGCTTTGGAAATTGAGCAAAAAAGATTACTTAGAAGTCTTCAACAATTTTTCATCAAGTCCTATTGAATTATTTTTTTTTCTTTTAGAGATGCAGTCTTGCTCTGTTGCCCAGGCTGGAGTGCAGTGGCCCGATCTCGGCTCACTGCAACCTCCAGCTCCTGGGTTCAAGCAGTTCTCCTGCCTCAGCCTCCCCAGTAGCTGGGACTACAGGTGCATGCCGCCATGCCCAGCTAATATTTGTATTTTAGTAGAGATGGGGTTTCATCGTGTTGCCCAGGCTGGTCTTGAACTCCTGAGCTCAGGCAATCCACCCGCCTTGTCCTCCTAAAATGCTAGGATTACAGGTGTGAGCCACCAAGGCTGGCCCCTGTTGAATTGTTTTAGATTAGCTAAATGTGCTTCAACATTGTGAAATACAACAGTTTCACGAACACGAAGTCAAGTGACAGAATTTACAGCCCCCAATGATTCAAAGATTGAATTTACTGAAAGGTGCAATTTGCTGAGAAAGAAAACAAAACCTTAAAAACAACTGGATTAAAAGGAAATGGTAAATAAGTCCTCAATGTATTAAAAAAACTTTTAAAAAGTAATCTGAAGGATTATATTTTATTTATTTATTTGCATTTTGATTATTTTTAACTTATTCCTTATATTTTAGCAGGTAAAAATATATCTCATTCCTCCTGAATGGTGACTAGTACATTTACCCATGCCCCTATTACTAGACATTCACTTCATTTTCATTTTGGAGTAACTAAACAAACAACTAACTTTGTACTAACATTTACCTATTTTTTCTTAATAGTACAGATGCCCAGAACTGTGATTTCTGGGTGAAATGCTATACATGGTTTAAATGAGAGGATATGGCGTCCTCTTTATTTTTCAAAATTTATTAATATCAGCAATCCTAATCAGCAATACATTAAAGCGCTCCTTTATACTGAATTCCTGACAAGAGTAAGCACCCTTCATTATTTTGGGGAGAGTGTATTTTATAATCAATTGTGTTTTCCTGATATCTAGTAAGGGTTGAAATTCTGTTTTTACACATATGCCACTGGAATTTCCTTTTCTAGGAATTACCTATTAATATTATTTGTTTTAATTTGTTTTTGGACTTTGGTCATATATTTTTGTATTTAAAACATTTACAAATTCATAATTAATTTACAAATGGACTAAAATATGGCGTACTTATCCACCAGTTTATAAGTGGACCAAAATTTGTGGGTGTTTGCAGTATTCTATATTTATATCTAGAAGATATGTTAGTAAGTATGTCTATTTTTAAAACTAATTAAGTTTTACAATTTATTTATATTTTACTTTAACTTAAAAAGCCTCAAAGAAATACTTTATTCTGTCTACAGAATTCCAAAGGCCACTTAAATGCCAACATTAATGGCTTTCACTTTTTAAGTTAGTTATTTAAAGAAATTCTGCATTACTAATGCTTGTGGTGTCACAGAGGATGATATTGTAAAGAAAACCATGAATACCAGGGAATTCAATTCAAAAAATGATCCAGAAGAGACAAATTTTTAAGGTAAAGAAAGGTTAAAAGTGTCTATACAATGCTTTTGCTTATTTATAAACAGTGAGTGACTTACAGTAAAAAAAAAAATAGTGTGTTTTAGCTAAAACAATAATTAAACAACAATCTGTTAACTATAAATTTCAAATAAAGAAATATATATGAACCTTATATTTGCCACATGCATGGCACATATTTTTACAATTTATTTTTTGTCATTTGATTTTGTTTAATATATAGTTTGCATTATAAAAACAATTGTAAATATTTGTATAACTAAATCCTTTTCTTTAGAGATTTTGGGTTTTATATCCAACATTGGTGTGTTTACATGTGTCTGTGCATGTATGCATTTTTCTCCTCACATTTTTGTTTTATGTTTAGATATTTAATATATTTGAAATTTTGTCAAAATCATTTTTCTGTAGGTAAGCTGTGAGTTATGTGGTACTTTATTTTCTTTCAGTTGTACAAGCAAAATTTGCTAACTTCTATTTTTCCACTACATTGAAGTAATTGAAGTATAATTTTTTGATATATTACATTTCCATATATGCAGTGTTTTTTTCCTGAACTTTCCTTTGTGCCTCACATATCTATGTTTTGATGTCTGCATCAATATTGTATTGTTAAAAAGTGAGTATATTGTTTATTTTAATATATCATGATGCAAGTTGTCTCCCAACATCCTTTAAAAAGAAAAACAAAATTTTAAAACTTGTTTAACTTAATATGAAGATTAAATTATAAACATAGCCTATAAAAGATTAGGAGGAGTATGTCCTTGGAATATAGTATGGATGGAGGGAGTGAATAAAATATTAATACAATGGAAGTCAGGAAAAGAGAAAATAAGAAGCATAGAAAAGTCACAGAACACAGTAAATACACAAACCAGATGCTAAAACATCATGGGAATCATGAGGGACATTGACTTAGAGAATAAATCTGACAAATTGATTATGCAAGTAATAAGTTTAGCAGAGAAAAATGACCCTGTTTTCAGAAAGTCAAGAATACATAATATTCAAATTTCTAAGCACATTTGGAATATTTTACAAATTGGACACATACAACACCACAAAGTTCTTAACACATCCCAAAGAATGATTAATATGTTAGATACAACATATTCTTTGACCACAAAATTATACAATTAAAATTATAAATTTTATAATTCCTTCTCAAAACTTAAGAGTACATAATAATAAGATACTTAAATAGATGTTGAAGCCATAGATACCTACCTAAAAATGTATATATTTTTATGAATTATTAATTACACACCCAACTCTTAGGATCTGTTTTCTATTGAAGTAACATTGATTCCTTTAAGCTTGTAATTCTCCAAAGTAAGTTAACTGAGAAAGAAAGTCCACATTATAGAAATTCAACTTACATATATTTTTATGTATCTACTCAATAATACATGAAATAAAGCAAATCAAAATCTGATCTATTTTCCCACTCCTTTTCTTCAGGCAATTTTACATTTCCAACATAAAGAGACCATTAAAAAAGATGCAGATCCCTCAATAACATCACAGTTTTACAGCTTCACAGCAAGAATGTCACCCTGACTTCCTTGCCTTTTCTTATACATGCTTGTGTTTCCTATACCTTTGCTTGCTCTTGAGCCTGCTATTCTCAGTGCTTAGAATGGAAAGAGCATCGGATTGAAGTTTATCCCAATTCTACCATTTAACTATTGGATAATATTAGGTACAAGGATTAACTTGTTTGATTTATTATTTTCTAATAGTAGAGATAATTTCTAACAGTAGAGATAATTATAAAACTGTGACTGTTTTCAGAAATAAATGACATAATTTGGTGGTAAACATTAGGTACTTAAGAAATTCCAGTTGTGTCCAGACAGACTTCTCTGATTGGCAAATTATTTATTTTTAAAATCCAAAATCCATGTTACTGCTTTTGATGAGAATTCGCTGGTATCTTCTATAGCTCTTTCTATTCCCAGCTCAATGTAGAAATGAGGATTTCTTCCCATGTCTATCCCACTGTCTTTGTGTATTCATTTGCTCTACAAAAAACAAATGCTCACCCTGTTTTTTGCTTAAATTTCTTTTCTGTCTTCCCCTACAATGGTGAAATCTGCAAGTATAAGCTCTATACTCTGGCCAGTGTTTGATATAGGATTGCAAGAAACAACTGTCATATGGGAAGCTTTTACAAAGAGGGGAAGCAACCTTGTTGGGTTAAGTACTAAAGAATTTTGAGAACCACGATGAAGTTGATCTCAGCATAATTTTTAAAAACAGATTACATAATGTTTGCAGTACTGTGACCCTAAGAGTACAATAAACTAAGAGCGTTGTTGCAGGCAAGTTAGATGGGGCCAAAGTTCCAAATGAGAAGATTAGAATTATGTATGCTCTGCTTTTAGTTATCATGGTTATGGGTGCTCTAACCACGTTCATTGATATTTAAAGGGAAAACAAATAAAGACATTGAAAAAGTCATAACTGTTTAACAACAAAAAAAGAAAAGCTATAAATTTCAACTTTTAATCACAAAGCTTATAATGATTTAAATGTTTAAGTGGAATATTTTGTGTATTATATATAAAATATTGCAGTTGTCCCAACAAGGTAAAAAATAGGTTGGGTACTGGCACTTTTGTAACTAATTTTACCCTAGAAAATAACAACACTTTCTGGTTGAGAAGGGAGACTTTTTGTTTTGTTTGTTTGTTTTTTGTGTTACTAATTTTGTTTTTTGAGACTGTCACTAACAGATTTGATCCCAACATGATAGAAACTTTAAGAGTAATCTGATTGTTACCTTGAAGACAGCCTCAGTCATATTCTAGCATGTATCTTCAATGCCATCGATAGTATTTGTGCGTAATAAATGTTTAATAGATGCCCATGAAAGTATAAATTAATGCACTAAAGAAAGGGGGAAGGAGGAATAAAGAAGGAATAAATATTACTGATGATGATGCCATTGATGTTGGTAATGATTGTATGGAAAGACAGGCTACAGAAAATAGCATCTAAGGGCCAAGTTTTCTAATATAACAATTTGATTAGGAGAACCTAGGTCTAGAAAGTCAGCTTTGGAGATTGGGCAGAAAAGATTACATCAAAGTCTTCAAAAATTTTTCAAGTCCCATTGGTAAATAAATGAAGAAACAAAAGACAAATGCGACTCAGGATTCCAGTGTGGGAGCTAGGATTAAGTTGGTGTCACTGATTAAAGCAAGTAAGAAAAAACATGAAGTGAACCTTGCAGACCAAGTGGCCATTTAGTTTTGAAATTGTTTCATTCAAAGATGAAATAATGATAGAAAAATTATGAGAAATAGCTTATATATCAGTTACTGTTGCAATAACACAATATGACATTCTACAAATCAAAGTGCTTTAAAACAACAACCCGACATTCTCATGCTCACCGTCCTGTGGGTTAGCTGGAACAGAGCTGATACAGGCTGATCTCATCTGGGCATGGCTCCAAGCCATGGACTGTGTTCAGCTCTGCTTCACACAGTCTCCTATTCCTCTAGGACCAGCAGACCACCTGGGGCAGAATTTCTCATGGATACGACAAAATCCAAAAATGGCAAAAGAAACACACAATGTTTGTTAAGGCTCATAACTCACACAGTATCCTTTCCTCCAATATTGCATTAGCCAAACAATTGGTTAGCTGAATTCAACACAATGGGGTGGAGAAATACACTCTAATTAGAGAAACTGCAAAGTCACACAGCAAAGGATGTGGATTCGGGGAGAGGTGAAGAATTACAGTCTTCCACATTCTACTTTAAATAAATGACTGAAATTCAGTTAAAAGTGAAGCCTAAACTAGCAGGGTTATTAATGCAAGAAATACTTTGCGAACACCAATATATATCCATCAACATCATCATCATCATCATCATCATCATCAGTGATAGATAATATAGGTCTTTGTTCTGTTTCCTACTGTATTGCTTCCCAATACTATACAGATTACCTAAATTTGTTTAGTCTGCTGTGGTTATACTTTCAGATTTTCCTTGAGAGTTGATCATTTTTTTCTATAATTCCAGCTAGCTGTGGGCAAAGATTTTTTCTATAAAAGATCTCTCACCACCACCATATTACCATTAGCTATCTGATTTTGAGTATTATGGCAGCCAAGCCATGCTCTCTAAAATGGATTGGATTTTCTATGAATAATAATACTGTTATGAATTAGTTTTCCATTAATTCATATAGCTCTCTTAGATATTTTCTACTATTTTCTAATATGTAATATCTCTGCACTTTGTCATTCACATGATCTTTTCGTATAAATCAGACCAAGACAACCATCAGTACCCAAAGTACGATTCAGAATTTTCAGCTTTAATTGCATCTTTCCCAACACGTTTTGCTTCATAGACCAGTTCATTTTTGTACATAACTTTGGCAAATAATGACAAGGAGATGTAGGCCCATTTTAATTATTACTGTGGCTGCACGCATATGCAGCCTGTTGGCAACTTGCCCACTGTATAGCTTTCTGCTGCAATGTTTCTCTTCCAATATGGAATAAAGTACTTAAAGGAACCTGCTTAGCCATCATGATATAAGTGCAAAAGGGAAAGCACAAGTGGTTAGCACCCTCAAGGACAGGAGCTGGTGCATAAGGACTGCACTGTTTCATCCTTTGGACAAACACTTCTATTATGCATTCTACACAGTCCAATCAAGGATCCCAAACAGAATTGAACCCCAGAGGCCCACAGAGGTGATTAGCTAGATAATATACCCTTGGATTGGCTTGCCTTCCTCACCTGCCTCATGTTTCTCAATCCCTAAATCACCTTCTTTGGGAACAGTTCCCAAAATGACTATTCAAATGCAAACCCTCGTGTTTAACAACAGCAACAAAAAAGTCTATTTATAGCTTTCTTGCCTGCCCACCTGCCTTCCTTCCTTCCTTCCTTCCTTTTTTTTTTTTTTTTTTTTTTTCCAGAGTCTTGACCTGTCGCCCAGGCTGGAGTGCAGTGGTAGAATCTCAGCTCAGTGCAACCTCTGCCTCCCGGGTTCCAGCGATTCTCCTGCGTCAGCCTCCTGAGTAGCTGGGACTACAGGCCTGCGCCACCATGCCAGGCTAACTTTTTATATTTTTAGTAGAGATGGGGTTTCACCATATTGGCCAGGCTGGTCTCAAGCTCCTGACCCCGTGATCCACCCGCCTCAGCCTCCCAAAGTGCTGGGATTACAGGCGTGAGCCACTGCGCCTGGCCCCTTCCTTCCTTCCTTCCTTCCTTTCCTTTCCTTCCTTCCTTCCTTCCTTCCTTCCTTCTTTCCTTCCTTCCTTCCCTTCTTTCTTCCTTTCTTCCTTTTTTCCTTCCTTCCTTTCTTCCTTTCTCTTTCCTTTTTTTCTTTTCTGTTCTTTCTTCTATTGTGATAGGCAGAACCCACATCTTAATCCTCAGAACAAGAGAATATATTAGGTTACCTGGAAAAAAAGATTGAAGGTTGTGGATGGATTTGGTGATTGCTAATCAGGTGACATTAAGATAAAAACAATTATGCTGAATCATTTGGATGGGCACACTGGAATTAGGTGGGTGCCTAAAAGTGAAAAGAGGATGGCAAAAGTTTAGTCAGTCAAATAAAGATGTAACTATGGAGGAAAGGCACAGAGGATTCAACACTGCTGACTCTGAAGATGGAAGGGGGCTATGAAATAAGGAATGTTGGTCACCTCTAGAAGGAGCAAAGGGCAAGGAAATGGATTCTGCACTAGAGCCTTTAAAAGAAACATAGCCCTGCCAACACCTGGATTTTATTCTAGTGAGACTTTCAACCTAAAGAACAGAAAGATAGTAGACTTGTCTTGTTTAAGCTTCCAAATTGGTGGTAAATTTTTACAGCAGCAACAGGGAACTAATATATCAATGCATGCGTGTTTTGCACAAATATGTCATTCGTATTTAGAAATGCCACATTAAGATGAAATCAGTTTCATATTGCATTCTAAATGATCCTAATAGAAAAATTTTACATGATTTTATGATCAGTTCATTTTTTAATTATTTTGAATCCATAGACTTCTTTTGTATTTCCTTTGACAAATAGTTTGGGGCTTTAAAAAGTTGCTGAGCCAATTACTCATCTAAAAGTTTTTCTGAAGCTCATGGTTTATTCAAGTCATTCAATTAACAATTTAACTCAATTAACATTTACTTAGTGCCTAGCATGCTCATGGCATTACAGAAAATGGAAATGGAAATGACTTTGAAACAATTTATTTTGACCATAAAAATATCAAAGTCCTTTAACATGTAGGTCATGGATTACTGGGCAGTAGTAGCTAAGAGTTCACAGATAATGGCAAACAGATAAAATACTTTCAAATATACAGCAGATTTAACTTTCATTTTGGATTCTTTGCTACCAGAAGTGCAGGAAAAATACTAAAAGTAAAATCAAGGACATCTTAAGATGGCTTTAATTAACATTCTTAGTAATGTAACAAACAGACCTAAGAAATAACAAATTAGTGTCATTAATTTTTTTAATTGTTTAAACTTTGGAATTAAATATTTCACTACTTTAGTTTTTGGGTTGTTTTTGTTTTTTACTATGCAGTACTTAAGAAACAATATAGAAACACAGTCCAAAAACAAAAACACTGTATCTCAGTGACTGTAAACATTGTGGTATGTTTTTAAATATATGTATATAAATAAATATAAATATATATTTTAAGTCATAATTTAATATAGTAAATGCCATTGAATACTTCTAGGTATTAAAATATTTGCCTTTTCTAACTGCCCATATGTTTGAAAATATTTTCAATGGTTTTAAATTGTTAGCTCAGATGTAGGACGCATCCAGAAAAGAGAGACAATAAGTGAGAGAGAAAGAAAAGAAAGAAGAGAGAAAAGAATGAATGAAAGAAAGAGAGAGAAGAAAGGAAGGAAGGAAAGAAGGCAGGCAGAGAGGGAGGGAGGAAGAGAGGGAGGAAGGGAGAAAGGGAAGAAAGGATCCTAATGTCTGTTTAATCTTGTGCCAGAAAATCTTGCTAGGTAGTTTACCTCTTTTAAATATTCATAATAAGAATAACTCTTACCCTAAATATTATTTTTGCAGTCTTTCTGGTAAGGACACTGAGGCTCACAGAGACCCATTGGAGAGACCGTGCCTGCTTATGCAATCATGTTGGTATTTATTTGGAGCACTTAAAAGCCATTCTACACAGAATCATTTGAGCTTCATGGAAGTTTATATTGCTTTATGTACTATTTAACAGCAAATATCAAATAACTAGTTTCACTTTGGGGAAGAAAATTTAGGTGTAATCTACTTTATGAAGGTGATACAGTTCTGAAAATATAAGGATTTTTCACTTGTATTTTACATTTGTATCATATAATAAGTTATAGGCAAATTTACCATCTGAAAAACACTTACAGTAAATCCTTTGTATGTTTAAAGATCTCATTATAAAGGCAATATTAGCTGTAATTGCAGATTTTCATGTAACATTTCTTTTTTTTTTGGGTGGGGGGTGGTGGTGGGACAGAGTATCACTCTGTCTCCAAGGTTGGAGTGCAATGGCGTGATCTCGGCTCACTGCAACCTCTGCCTTCTGGTTCAAGTGATTCTCCTCCTATCAAGTGATAGGCCTCCCGAGTAGCTGGGATTACAGGCATGTGCCAGCACGTCCGGCTAATTTTTTGTATTTTTAGTAGAGATGGGTTTTGCCATGTTGGCCACACTAGTCTTGAACTCCTGACCTCAGGTGATCCACCCGACTCAGCCTCCCAAAATGCTGGGATTACAGGCGTGAGCCACCAAGCCCGGCCTCATATAACATTTCTTAAGGCAAGTGCCATTCCATCTATGTCATATCTCTACTGTTGCTTTTATAAACTTATAAAATTTCTCATTTGAGCCATGACTTGAAAAGATTATAAATTAATCCAAAATAAATTTGCTTCTGTAGTACTCTTCTATATAGACATTTTTAATTTTAAAAGTTTTATCACAACGCTCTATCTCAATACAAATATACTTCATAACAATTTATTGACTTAACATTAAGGAAAAATGTCTGTGCAATTGTTCATGCAAAGGTAATCGTTAATTCTCTCAGATTCTTGAAAGATAAAACATCACAATTCAAAGATTTCATAAAATGCTATTTGTTCTCAATTTCTAAAGCAGTGTTTTTAAATTCTTGACAGAATGGAGACAGAAAAACCATACATATCTAGGTCTGAGAAATACCCCAAATTAATATAGTGTATTGCTCTCCACCTGATACTGTTTTTTGCATACGTGTGACTAAAGAAAATGTTAAGGTTTGAGATCACTTATTCCTTTTTTTCCCCTCTAACAGTTACAAGTCTTCATGTTATTGAACCTAATATTGACATACCTCCTCCCTATTGCAGAATTATTAAACTAGCTCTCAAAGGAAATTTAACATTATAGGGAAAATGATAACTTTCTTTTTTCTTTTGCCATTTTCTCAGAAAATCACGACTAGCTTCTGGCCATGACAAAAGTTATGTCAGCATCATTATGCAACACCTGTGATCAGTGTGCAATGGAAGAGCTTAAGAGCCAGAACTGAGTATATAACTGAAAAGTTTCTATACAATGTTAAATGTGCTGCTCAATCCCCTAAAGTTAAGTAAATGGCCTTCAGTGAGGTTTGAAGAAAGCTCTGCAACAGCATGAATATAGTGGCCTGAGAGCTGGCGTGGAGGTATTCAGATATGAACTCTCTTTGCTTCTAAATATTAAGCCTACAGTTCCTTGCACTTTTATTTCTGAGGCATTTTAAGCTTATTGTGCTGAACAGTTGTGCTTTCTAAGCTTGATTGACATTCCAGAAAATATTGATCCGAGTGTTGGGTGAGCTTACTTTCTATTAAAAAGTGCTCATCACATGGCATTAGGCTCACTCAGTCCAAAATGTCAGAGAATTGCACTTTTTAACAAAAATCTTATATTTATTTTAAAATCAAACTTACCAATAATTTATAATCAGAATTTGAAGTGTAGTATGAACACTTTGCTTCTTTAGAATTGATTTAGAATAAAAATCTGACAAACTCAATAAGCAAACAAACAAACAAAAAAAACTCCAAGAAACCACTGTAAAGAAAAAGTGTTTTCTTGGTCACTGAATAGTATTAAAATTCCCTGGAAAAGGAGAATTTCTTTTAGCAAATCATATTTCTCATATGTTCTTTTATACCTGTTCTGATATAGGACAGCCATTTCCATAACCCTCCCCCTCTAGATCCATCTCTACCTGCTCTAGAAGAGGTTTGCTCTCAAGACCCAGAGCTTACCGAGACTTCCCTTAGCTCCCCAAGATTGTGTCTGCTGTAGCAATACCAGGAAGTAATTCGTTTCTTCCTCGGTTTTCTCTTCTGTTTTACTGGATCACCGTCTCAAATTACTTCCAAAGAAAATGTTTGTTGGACAAAGGGTACAAAGGTTCAACCATGCAGGATGAATAAATTCTGGAGATCTAATGCACATCATTATGACTATAGCTATTGGCACTGCATTGTATACTTGAAATTTGCAAAGAAATTATACATAAAATGTTCTCACACACTCTCTTTCCCACGCAAAAGGGTAACTATGTGAAGTGATTGATATGTTAATTAGCTTGACTGTAGTAAACATTTGACAATGTATATCTATATCAAAAAATTATATTGCATGCCATAAATATATACAGTTTTTATTTCTCAATTGTACATCAATAAAGCTGAAAAAAAATAAAAAGAAAAGGCTCATTGGAGGATTACAGGATTTCTGAATCTTGGCCCTTCTGAAAACATCTTTAGTCTACCATTTTATTGATTGATAGTTTCGCTGGTGATAGACTATATGACTTGAAATTAGTCTTGATCCTCACTTCTGACCTGCTTAGTGCTCTGTGAGGGCAAAGTGGCTTATTTCTTTGCTATGTGCTCCTCTGTGAGGTCTCAAAACTGTCATATTCTTTACATGTCATTAGGAAATTTTACAGCCACCTTTGGTTTTCTCGAGTTTTCCTAGAAATGTCCTGTGTTCCTCTCCACTTTTAACTAATATGAATATACCTAATTTGGGTTTCCTTTGGGATTGTGCAGGTAGATTTATTTCCGAAAGATTTCTTTCTTAGTGGAAAGTGTGCCTGGGTAGGAACTTTGTACAAGTGGGTGGAATATGTACTGTCAGGCTTTGCTTTAGGAGGTATAAGAAAGGACCCTAAGGATAGGCTGTGAGGCAACCCCCACAACTTGAGAATTAGGATGATTCTTCCCATAAAAGAACTTTTCACTTTCCCCAGGTCGTCTCAATGTAAACAAACAAAAATCGGCTGCTTTATTTTGTGTGTCTTTTGTTTTTCACTCTGGTGTTAAAAACTGGGCAGCCTGTGCTCTACAAGCTGAAGTGGGAGATCGAATTCATCAATAAATTTACGTTTTTTCCACCATGATTTTTCTCCTACTATTAGTGTGTTTGTGTATGTGTATGTGACTTTTTCCGGGTTTTGACAAAAGTTCTTACCCACTTACTACTACCTTAGCTGGAACTAAGTATACCTTCTGTTGCAATTTCCAGAGCTTTGGACTTGTATTCTACCTGGTTTGCATGTTTTCTGTGACTTGTTGAGTCTCTTTCACTGAAATATCTTTAAGCAAGTTAAGCAAGGATTTTGGATAACAATTTAAAGTGGTTTTGTCATAATGTTTTTGTATAATTTTAGCAAAATAGTAGAATTTTATTTAACTTTTCTTTTGGCCAAAAGTTTACTTCCGTATGTGACAAATAAAGTAAACCCCAAAAAGCAAACAAAAACCAGCATTCTATTCTGGTTTATTATTTCATCAATAATATCAAATTACTGCCATCTATGAAATGGATGTAGTAATTGTAATTCTCCATACCTAAAATAACATTTTATTAAAGTGGATAAAAATAATTTTTATGGCTGCTAGTCTTAGTCACAAGCAGTATTATTACAGCTCTTACTGTATTCTAATTATTTTTATTTGCTCTTCGAAAATTTATAAGTGGTATTAAAATATAATGACTTGTCAAAATCTGAAATAGGGATACATGAAATCTTTTGATGAATAAAATTAATGTGAATTTAATAATGTTAACACCAATAAAACTGTTTGCAATACTGTACAGGACGCATCTGAAGCATGTACCACATACAATAATTATAGTAGCAGCTCTCTAAGGACTAGAGCACTAGAAACTGTACTGTGCTAATCTGAAATCAGGTGAATTAATCCTCAGAGGAGTCAGGTACCACAGTCTCAAGTAATCAGTAATAATTGTATCATATTGCTGAAGCACACTCCAAGAGCTATGATTTTCCCTACCTGCTGGATTGCCTGCAATGATTGAAATTTGTTAAGCAGTGGCAGAAATTCAGGCCCATGATCAGTGGAAATCCAAGAGTTCCAAATACATAGGTAACATCACTATAACAAGGTTTTTCTATTGTTTTTTTCCTTTGGTTTTAACTTTATGTTTTATAGTAGATGGATTTTGCCAATAATACATTGCTATACTTTGATAACGAATACTCTGAAGTGTTTAAAGAATTGAAAACATCAAAAAATAATTTTGCTTATAACAAAATACAAACATTAAATATTTTTGATAAGAGAACTTACTTATTAGATTTACACTATTTCTCTAACTTTAAAAAGTAGTCTGCATTTCAAGTGGTCTACCATATGGCTGTCTACATCTTAGCATTTTGCAGAAAGTATATATAAAATGAAATGCATATAAAAGTTGCCTGCAGTAAGTAATACTAAAGGCCTGGATTAATGAATTTAGCTCGGCTTTGAGTTATTTCAAATATATCTTTGTTAATAATTATGTACTTCCCAAAGCCATCGAATAATGTTAATTAAATCTCGGCTTAGTTTCACAGTTGTGTTTAATTAGCTCAATCACTTTTTAAAATGTAACAGGCTATTAAAAGAAAGATCTATTGACAGAATGTTGAATGGCAAATTGTTAGCTGCCAGATTTGGTCCCTGAATGGTCATTGGGTGCGTGAAAAAGCAAAAAGCATCAAAATCATAGCATTTATAAACAGGCTTTGTAGCTTAAGAGTTAACTGCATGCAATTCAAATGATTTTCATTCTATATTGGAAGGGAGTAATCCAATGAGTTTAATGGTGTATGTATTATACAGAAGCTTTTCAATAAAGGCAGAAATTACATTTACAGTGCCTTTTCTGTGGTTATTTGAAATATACTTTTATCTAGGCAAACCTTAATTTCTGGCAATATAAAAAGTGCCCTGAGGTAAATATGGACTTTACTCCTGCTTATGAGAAAGTTAAATTAATACCCTAAGGATATGTCCTTTGCAAAGGGTCATACTTATTACCAAGCCATTATAATAATATACACTTTCTTACAAATCTGCAATCGATTTACAAGCAAGATTTCGATTAAAGTTCACTTCCCAAAACATTGGAAAGTAAGCTGTTTGTATTGCACTGTTTATAAACACTTACTTGATTCCCAATTTATCTTTATTTTAGGAAGAGATAGTAAGTCAGAATTATTTTGTTTATTCTAGGAAACTCTCAGTTTTCAAATTTTCAATTAGGAAATGGTGAGGGAAGTGGGATTCAAACACAAGGACATTATAATGATGCCAATCAAAAACAATTTATTAATAACTAAGTAGGCAGCTTTTAAAATTTTTGACTTTCAAAATAATAAAAAAATGCAATTCCTTATTAAATGCAAGGAGGTTACTGGAAGAAATTTGGCATAAAATGCCTTGTTTATTAAAGATTAAGAGAAACAACTGTTTATATTATAGAAATTAAATTACTATTTATTGAGCATATGCATCTCAATTTGCAAGTCACAGTGTAGAATAGAGGCCTATTTAATATGTCATTAAAATATATTTTAATAATGTTGCAAATATAAAATCTATTTTAATAATGTTGCAAATATAAAATCTATTTTAAAATAATGATATTTAACCTTATTTTGCTGTGAATTGACGCTACAGTGTACATTCAGTGCACACAAAATATCAAAACTTTCCATCTAGGATTTAATAAGAGAGAAAAAAATCTGTGGAAGAAACTATGTACATTGAAGAAACTCAAAGGCAGGAGACATGTGTTAGGCCATTCTTGCCTTGCTCTGAAGTAATATCTGTGACCGGGTACTTTATAAAGAAAAGAGGTTTAACTGTCTCACGGTTCTTCAGGCTGTACAGGAAGCTTGTTGCCAGCATCTGCTTCTGGAGGGGCCTCAGGAAGCTTACGATCATGGTGGAAGGCAAAGGGGGAGTAGCTTGGGGAGTCACATGGCGAGACCAGGAGCAAGAGAGAGAGGGGAAAGGTGCCACACTGTTTTAAGCAAGTAGATCTTGCATGAACAGAGAAAGAACTCACTCATCATCAAGGGGATGACACTAAGTCATTCATGAGGGATCCGCCGCCATGATCCAGTACCTTCCACTAGGCCTCACTTCCAACAATGGGGATTACATTGCAACAGGAGATTTGAAGAGAACAAACATCAAAACCATATCAACATATTTATTCACTTTTCTTGGTATTATCTATATTCTACGATTAATATCATGAATAGACAGTCATGAATGAATAGTAATGAATAGACAGTAAATGAATAGACAGTAAATTCTAGATCAGAACGTAATTTACTAATTTACTGCCAATGAACAGACACTAAATTCTAGATCAGAACCTAACTTCGGACTTAGTGCTTCCAAAGTACATCTTTGTCATAGTACCATGCATCTAAAAACCCAGAATTTAAATATTTTACACGTAGACAGAGAAATAGACTAAATCATAGTGTGATTTTATGAAAACAACGAAAACAACTACTTCTTTAGTAATGTAAAACCTATCAAAGTTCCATCTGTGATTTGTCTAAAATAAGCCTATAGCTCCATAGTCAGAACTCCAAAGCTGACAACCTCTTCAATCCTTCAGAAAAGACAATAATGTCTTTTAGAAAGGTTTTAGATTTGCCATGTTCAATTATCTATATTATTGAGCCTACTAACCACCTACTTCTAATGTTGCAACCAGATATCATTCTGGAAATAATCTTTCTTTAACAATAAAATTTTCCATATTAATTTATAGCATGAGAATCCCCATTCCCGTCTTCCATTATTCTCATTTGCACTACCCTAACCTTCCTTCTCAATTTTTGCAATGCTTTCCCTCATAGTACATCATATCATAACATTTAGAACATTTATGTAATGTGAGATATGGAAACTGATTTTAGAGGTCATTTAGTTGGGGAAAGAAAATGTATATCACTTCATATGTTCCAGTAGCAGCTGCCTCTTGGTCTCGGTAGAGAAGAATTCAGAGGGAGAGCTGGCTCAGACTCAGCAGAAAAAGGTCCTCATATGATGGCTTATCTATGTTAGAGATTGGGAAGTAAGAATTGTTTGTATGTTTAGGTATCTTTTAGTTCACTTTGTCTCCGATTTCACATATTATCTTTTGATTTCCCATTCCCTGGTCCAAATACCCTTCTCAAAAAGACTAAAAATATAAAAATATTTTAACGTAATTTTTGTTTAAATCAAATCCAGTGTATAAATTATTATGGCTATGTAAATGTTATGTTTAGCTGTTCCACACCCACATAGTATAATGTGATTACATGTTATTTCTTGGACAGCTTTTGTTTTGCTTTTTTCTGGAGTTAATAATAGCCTAACATTTTCTCCTTGATCATATGCTCTAGAAGGGCAGATAGCAGTCTTTCTTTGGTTCACTGATGTATCCTAAAGTGTCTAGTACAACATATGTTTCTAGTAGACACATATTAAAAACCCAATAAATATTTGTCAAATTAAAATATTAATTTTCAAAGCTCTAATAGAACTATAAAATTCCTGTCTATATAATCAGTCATGCCAGCTAATTCTTTAGTTTCATTTTAATTCTTTGAGACAACATCACTGTCACCTAAAGCTCTCTAAAGCCCTCCTCCCAATTGGGCAGGTTCTTTTTCTTAACCCATTACCAAGATATGATCGTAAAATGTCCCTTTTTATTATCTTGGTAATTTTTGTCTCAGTTTTCTATAAAATCTCTACTTTCCTGATTTTCATGGTATTCTCTTTCTTTGTTTAGTCACTTGTTTTGTTTTGGTGAAACATATTCTTTGTAACCTGCTGTGAAAGGACGCAAAGATAGATTTTTTGGGGGGTTTGTTTTGCTATACTATGTGTCTAAAACTGTGTATTAAAAAGTGGCTAGATATTAAATTCTAGTCTAGACAATTTTTTAAATTTTTGACAGTTCTCACTTCCAGTAGTACTTTTTAAAACTCTGATGCCATGTGAGTCATATGTGACATATTTTGTGATATGACCTTCTGATCTAGAGAACTTGTTATTTGAAAATCTCTATTGTACAATTCTAAAAATTTTTTCTCCTCCTTTTTTTTTCTGAAATAGCTTTTCTTATTTGGAAATAGTATCACTTCATTTAATTATGCAAGTTTCTTCTCTTTTTTTAATCTCTTATTTTAGGTTCTTATTTTTTCATACTTTATCAAAAACTTCCTTACCCTTTTTTCCAGCAGATTTGTTTCATGTTTTTATGCTATCGTATTTTCAGTTTTGAAGCTTGAATTCTTTAAGTATCTCCTTTTAATGTTTTCATAGCACCCTGTTCACTTCATCATGAATACTTTATATGATCATATTCCAGGAAAGACACTTATCCTTTTTAAAAAAGTTATCTTCTGATCTAAGTCTATTCTTTTACTTCTTTCATTTGTTTGGGTTTCTTTACTTTTGATTTAAAAGCTTTCAGTGATAATTTGTTTCATATTTTTTAAATGATACATACTTTTTAAATGTGTTACAAAAAAATGCTTTTTGGAAGTACTGTGTTTTGGAACAACTTTCCGGCCAGTGCAGTTTATTACTGTATGATAAGACAATGAAACTTTTTGTTTGATGGGAAACTCAAATTTAATAAGGCATTTGTTTTCTCACAGGGTACTTTAGTGTCCAGAAAGAATCCTCCAGTTGCTTGCCAGGGCTGGGATATAAGTTGGGTTGCACGTGTTCTGGGAATCAAGCGAGGAAGATAGCAGATCACATCACCATTTTACATAAAAACTTATACAGAGTGCCTATGATTTCACCGGGATGCTTCTTCTCCATCCTAAGCTATACCAATCTCCCCTGAGTCCAGAATCTTTACAGCTTAGTTTTTCCTTACACTATAAATCTAATCCCCAGCATGGGTTGTGGGGGAAGTTGCTTAGGATGATTTCTAAATATTTCTTATAAGTCTTTTGACTATTTCCACTATCGATAATACCTACACTTTCCTTGCACGTCGAAGGTGCTTCTGAGCATCATGCGGTTCTTCTGCTTAAATGATTTCACTTCTTATTATATTCTACTTCTTTTAGCTTCCTGCCCAACCTTTAGAATTTGTTCCATCTTTACAACTTGTACATAAACGGACCTCCCATCTTCTAAATTGTGCTGACATCTTATCACTACCCACCCTTTATTGTATTTATTCTTTTCTATATAATTTTAAAAAATATTTTATGTTATTTAGGGGAATTCTGAAAGATCTGTGATCAATCTATCATAATTTGCTAAAAGTCTTAACACATTTAAAAATTTTAAATATCCATGAGCAGAATGATCATGCTGCAAATGTGATTAGTTAACTAAAATATTAAATATTAACAATATTCAAAAACCTTATAAATGAAGCCCCAAGTGTTAACTGATTTATCAGTAATTACATATAGGCTACATAAAAATATATTTCCTGTCTGGGCGCAATGGCTCAGGCCTGTAATCCCAGCACTTTGGGAGGCCGAGGTGGGTGGATCACGAAGTCAGGAGATGGAGACCATCCTGGCTAACATGGTGAAACCCCATCTCTACTAAGAATACAAAAAATTAGCTGGGCGTGGTGGCACACACCTGTAGTCTGAGCTACTTGGGAAGTTGAGGCAGGAGAATTGCTTGAACCCGGGAGGCGGAGCTTGCAGTGAGCTGAGATTGCACCACTGCACTCCAGCCAGGGCGACAGAGTGAGACTCCATCTCAAAAAAAATTATATATATATATGTGTGTGTATATATATATATTTTTTTCTATATGTATACATATATACATATATATAAAATATATATACATATAATATATATAACATATATAATATATACATATATAAAATATATAAATATATACATATATAAAATATTATATATGTGTATATATGTATATATGTATATACATATATACACGTGTATATATACACATATATGTATATACATATATACACGTGTATATATACACATATATGTATATACATATATACGTGTGTATATATACACACATATATATATATATACACATATATATTTCCTGAGGGTTGGCTCTTTCCTCTGTAGAATTTTGATTTTGTTGAGAGTAGACTTGTAGTCATGGAGAACTTAAAAACAATAAAAACAGAATGTAATAAATTGCTAAATTTCATTATTTAGTCAGGAAAGCCATAGTAGTTTAGGAAAGAGCAAAATTAAAGTATTACAGAATGTCTCAGGTGACTTCCCTTGCCTTGGTGACATGTGTATCTGGTTTGTTACATACTTCTAAGATAGCCTTTGGATTATGCTATTGTCTGCCTAACAGCTGGAATCTATTCAATCAAAGATTATTTGCTGAAATATGAGGCAGAGATCTATCTTTTACATAATCCTAAATATTCTTTTGAATATTTCTACCATGCTGAGAATAAACAAGTACAGTGTTTTATTTTGAGAACAAATTTGGGAACTCAAGTTGATAAAAAGATGGATAATGTATTTAACTAAAATTTTTGAATCATACTATGTGTCATTTTCTCTACTTGATATTAGCAATTGCGAGAATAAAAAAATGCAGTTACTGCTATTAGAGCAGAGGCATGGGCAATGAAACAAGCTACACTTACTTAACAGAGTAAGTATGACAACGGATAGGAGCACACCTGAAAGTGACAATGAAAGAAAGGCTTCCCAGGGGAAGTACAGATTTATCCAAACTCTAAAACTTAACTGGAAGTCAGATGAAGAAGGGGAAATGGTAGTTTGGACAAAGGAACCAGCTTATTCAAATGCACGGAGTCCTGATAAAACATGGAATTGAGGGAAAACACATTTAAGTGTGACTAGACTTTGGGAGTTAGATTTAAAAACCAGACTAGTCTGTGCAAAGCAATTTCAGAAAATTAAGATACCAAAAAATATATATATTATATATGTATATAAATAAATATATATATATATAATGTTCTAAAGCAGTATAGTATAATGGAGTTTTTACCTAGACTAGTTACCAGAAAATGTAACCCTATTATCTCTGTGAACTTTGACAAATCCTTTAATATGTGTAATAAATTTATTGTTTAGGACCTTTTATTTTCTTCCCAGCTTCAATTTCATTGTTAAGATGTTAACCAGAAGAATAAGGCCCAATTGACAGATCTTTTTGAAATTTCAGACACTTTTGCACTTCCCTAGTAATTTGATGGCTCTTAACCAATCTGGTGAAAACTTTTTTCCTATCCACACTGTAGAATGTTTTACACATTACTCTCAATGTAAATTCACTCAATCTTCAGACTGACAAAAAAATTTAGGTTTCAATAAGTCATTTAACAAGGAATTCCAGTGATACCATAAACTTTCATCATCATCCAACTCAGCTACCCTCCTGATGCTTAAATTCTCTCCACAATATTTCTGCCAGTCATCATCTTTATTATGCTTGAGTATTTCAAGTGATACTCAAGTAGTTATTCTCAAGTAAGTCTATGATTAGACTCCTCTGACTGAAAGATTTTCTTGTATCATTCTTTTGGTCATAGGTCTAATTTTCATATCATGAAGTGCCTTTAAAAAAGAAAAAAAAAATGAAGATAATGGGTTTCTAGTGCCTAACCAAGTATGTGGCTCCTTGGCACCCAGAATATAACAGTGATCATTGTCCCATCAATTACTTGAGAATGGAAATTAAACTATACTTCCAATTTTAGGCTTATCTTCTCAGTGTAAAACATCTCACATTCCTGTGATTATGTCTCAGCTGAGATGGTTTTTAGGTCTACTAAAATTTTAGTTTGTTCCAGTTAGTTTTTTACCACTCTTAGAAGGTGGAAAAGTCACCATAGAGCTTCAAACATGGAAACACAGAGAGCAATGAGGAGGCTGCTGACATAATCCAGGACAAGATATTAGAGGTTTTGCTTGGATAACAGCTGAAATGATCAAAGAAACAAATAGATTTCGGAGAATTTGGGTAGTAAAGTTCATAAGACCTCCTAATGGCTTGGAGTATATTTGGAAGAGGCTAAAAGGACTCGATAAGGACTCCATGATATTTGGTTTGAGCAGCTGAGGGGATTGTGGTGCCATTTATTGAGATGAGAAAGATTCTGGGGAATAAATTTTGTTTGGGAATTCAGTTTGAAATGTCTCAAAGATATCCAACAGGAAATCTTAATTAGGATATTCACTGAAGTTGGCTAACAGAAAACCTATTTCCCTTTAAAATCATGATCAGTACCTCAGAAAGGCAGCTAGTCATTTGGAGAATTGTACTACATTTTCTTTATCAGTTTGCTCTACTACTCTCTCAGACTGGTGCTTTTCAAAAGTAATGTGAATGGAAATCACTGGGAGATCTTGTTCAAAGGCAGGTTCTGAAAATCTGGTGAGATGCTTAAGCATCTGCATTTTTTTCACTTTTAATTTTGTTATTATTAATCGTCAGTGCATAATGGTTGTATATATTCATGCGGTGCATGTGATGTTCTGATACAGGAACACACTGTGTAATGATCAAATCAGTATCCATCACCTCAAGCATTTATCATGTATCTGTTACAGAAACACTGCAATATCATTCTTTTAGTTATTTTAAAATGTACAATAAGTTATTGTTAACTATAGTCACTCTATGATGCTATTGAGTTGTAGATATTCTTCATTCTACCTAACTGTTATTTTTGTACCCCTTCTTCCCCACTATCCTTCCCAGCCCTTAGTAACCATCATCCTACTCTCTATCTTCATAAGTCCAGTATTTTTTAGTTCCCACATATAAGTGAGAACGTGTGATATTTGTGTTTCTTTGTCTGGCTTATTGTATTTAACATAAAGGCCTCCAATTCTATCTGTGTTGTTGCAAATGACCGGATTTCATTCTTTTTTAGGGTAGAATAACATTTCATTGTGTTATACAGGCCATATTTTCTTTACCCATTCATCCACTGATGGACACTTAGGTTGATTCCATATCTTGACTATTGTGAATAGTGCTACAGTAAGCCTGGGAGTGCCGATATCTCTTAGATACATTCGTTGCTTTTCTTTTGGATATATACCCAGCTGTGGAAATGCTGGATCATATGATCTATCATATGCTGGATAATATAATCCATCATACGCTGGATAATATCTTTAACTAGCTCCTATTTATTTTTGTCTATGTATAAAAATTAATATGGATTAAATACTTAAATCTAAGACCTGAGACTATGAAACTACTGGAAGACAACATTGGGGAAACACTCCAGGACATTGGTCTGGGCAAATATTTCCTGAATAAGACTTCAAAAAACACAAGATACCAAAGCAAAAAAGGACAAATGGGATCAGAGAAAGCTTCAGTTCAGGAAAGGAAATAGTCAACAAAGTGAAGAGGCAACCCACAGAGAGGGAGAAAATATTTACAAACTACCCATCTGATAGGTGATTAATAATTAAAGTATACGGCCAGGCGCGGTGACTCATGCCTGTAATCCCAGCACTTTGGGAGGCCGAGGCAGGCAAATCGTGAGGTCAAGAAATCGAGACCATCCTGACCAACATGGTGAAACTCCGTCTCTACTAAACATACAAAAATTAGCCACGTGTGGCATGTGCCTGTAGTCCCAGCTACTCGGGAGGCTGAGGCAGGAGAATCACTTGAACCTGGGAGGCAGAGTTTCCACTGAGCCAAGATCGCACCACTGCACTCCAGCCTGGGCAACAAAGCAAGACTCCATCTCAAATAAATACATAAATAATCAAAGTATATAAGGAACTCAATAGCTCAATAGGAAAAAAACAAATAATATGAGTAAAATATCGGCAAAAGATCTGTCTTAAGACATTTATCAAAAGAAGACACACAGATGGCCAACAGTTATATGTAAAAACTGTCAACATTACTAATTATCAGAGAATGCTGATCAAAACAATAATGAGATATCATCTCACCTCAGTTAAGTTGACTTGTATCCATATGATAGGCAAGAATGAATACGAGCAAGGGTGTGGAGAAAGAGGAATCCTTGTACACTGTTGGTGAGGATGTAAATTGGTATAGCCACTATACAGAACAATATGGATAATGCATTTTTCTTTATGCTCGCAGGTGACATCAATGCTATAGATCCTCAGATGCACTTTGAGTAGCAAGGTCTGAGTTAGACAAGTCTTTCCCACTTAAATTTGCATGCCCTGATGTTCCTTCCTCACTCTCAGCTGAGTGTGTCTTACTGTGACTTATTTCAGGAGAAAATAGAAGAGAAGAAGAGAATTTTCACATGCTTGTACCATTAAATCTACCAACCCACTCATCTAGTAGGTTTTCTCTCTTTTAAAAATGGGCTTTTACATAAGGCCAATCCTTCTGCTTATTTGCTAGATTGCATCCCCTCTCACTTTCTCAAAGGCATCAATCCCATAATTGCTACCTCCTTTCCAAGCATCATACATTTTTACATTTTACTGAATCATTCTCTTTAGCATAATTAACATGCTAAGATAAACGTTAGCTTAAAATAAAAACAAAGAAGTTTTGATACTCCCTATTTCTTTGCTTCCTTTTAGTGTAAAACTTTTCACAAAAAGATTACATTTATTTTCTCCAATTGCTTTTTTTCTGTTTTATGGTGGTAGTTCTAGCAGTAGCTACTGTTAAGATCAATGATCCTTCCTTTGCCAAATCTAATGGTGGATTATCTGTTCTCATGTCACCTCGTGTATGAAGGTTATTTTCGTAGTTCTATTTATAATACTATCTTCCCTTGGACTCTGTGACATCAACTTCCCTTTGATTTTCCTTTGACTTAATGTGTTTGTCTTTTCTGCCTTTTTGCTGGCTCCTCATTCTCTTTTGACCTCTAAATTTTAAGTTACTTTTGAGCCAAGTTCCAGGACCTCTTATTTTCTACATCTATATACCAACCCTCTAGGTCAACTCATATTATTTCATGCCTTTAAATACTACATGTGTTCTTGATTTCTAGAAACACACCTTCAGCCGAGGTTTTTCCACTGACCTAAAGTCCTGTATGTTGACTGGGTAATTTATTGTCCAAACGAGGACACTTTAGAATGTGAAGATGGGGGATTATTATTAATTATTCTGAGAAAACACATGTAAACCAGGACAACCACTTGTCTAAGCAGTTTTATGCAATCAGGGGTATATCCAATTGCCTACTCACCATTATGTATTTGGGTTTTGGGATAAAGATAGCTAGCTGTTCACAAATACCTATTTTACTCTTCTGTAGTACTAGAACCCTGAATTTGCAGCTGGTTACAAGACCTGATAGAATAAGAACTGAATTTCCAAACCTCTTTTGTATTTTATGTGGCAATGTAACTAATTCTGGACAATACAATGTAAGGTTAGTTGGTGTATGGAACTTCTAGGATTTGCCTTAAATGTAGGAGATGTGCATTTCTTTGACCGCTTTCCCTGTTCTGATGCTTAGATTATGAAGGTAGGAGCCATTTAGAATCTCTTAGTAGAAGCCATACATTGAGGAAATCAGTACAAAAAGATAGAAGACGCTTAGATTTTGATACTGGTAAGCCCCTGGACTGCTTTAATATGAAATAAAAATAACACCCATCTTATTATTGCCTTTGTTAATTTACCATTCATTGCAATGAAACCAAATCCTCACTAATAGAGGGGCTTAACATTTATTTATATATTCAACAAATATTTACTAAGTGACTGATACTATTCTAGGCATTTGGGATACAATAATGAACAGATAAGTGGGCCCTTCAGAGCTTACAGTTTGCAAATATTAACATTCTGGAAGTATATTCTAATGAAAGATTTACATACTAAATATTAAATAGTATACTATATAAAGGTAATAAAGCCAAAAGTAAGAGAAAAAGTAAAGATTGCTAAAGAGGCTTAGAAATTCTGGCCATAGGGGTGATTTCTTAATTGGGATAGACTTCTCAAGCAGATAATTGTGAGCAAGGAGGTGGATAAGGTGAGTAATTTTGCCTATGAATCTATCTGGAGGAAAGCCATCCTAGGCAGAGCTGAGAACCATACAGAGGCCTTAAGTTAGGAGTATTCTTATTCTACAAAACATAAGGAAGCTAGTACAGCTGGTATTGGTGTTTATAGAATGATATCAGAGATGAGGTTTAGAGGTGATGGAGAGCCACATACATCTTTCAGCACTTGTAGACCATGGCAAAGACTTTTTTGTCTTACTTTGAGTAAGATTAAAAAAAAAAAAAACTATTGCAGGATTTTGAGCAGAAAACTGACATGGTCTGTCTTAGATTTTAAAGAATTTCACTAGCCATAATGTGAGAATGTACTATGAGGGTAGAGGGTATGGGGAAAGGATAGAAGCAAGGAGACCAGTTTGTAGATTACGGCAGGAATCGAGATGAGAGATGATTATAAAATCAAAAAGTCTTAAATATCATGCTTAATTTCTCATCTCTGCCTTATTGAAATAGCTTCTTCTGCAGGCTTCTGTATTTCTGTAAATAGAAACTTTGCTCCTCAAAGAGACTGGGTCTAAAACTTTGGGCTCATTTGGAATCATTCAGAGATAGGAACACAGAGAAAATGGCAATACATAGATCTTCATGCAACTTGTTCCAGACACTCATTCCTGTCCTTTCCAGTTTTGTTGGATCAGCCACGTTGCAATTATGCATGATAATGCAACATTCTCCCAATAAGTTCTTCTCCATTTCTAAGCTCGTTTACACTGGATTTCTATTATTAGAACACATTTTGTTATGAAAGTCTTCACAATTACATATAATTACAGGTCACTAACACTTGCTAACTTGAAATAAAACATGATTTTTATTAACTGGCCATTTCCTAAGTTCCTGTGCTTTGCCATTGTAATACAGATGTTAAAAATAAAAACACTGACTTTTCTTTTCTCTCTTTAGAAATAAAAATTAAGTTTATACTACTTTTGATTATTTGCTTACATAAATATTACTGCCACAAGGAACTATGAATTACGATGTAGGAAAACAATTTTATATTTACAAATAGCCATGGTCTCTTAAATGCATGATACTCCTTGCCTGAAATATACTATACCAATAAATTAAAAACCACAATTAAATAAATGCAAGATCAAAAATCACGATTTTCCATGAAATAGAGGAAAGTCATTACAAAAGTTATATTTTTAAAAATCCATTACTTTTACTTGCATTTTTCCAGCTGACACCAAAAGAGCACACTTAAGTTCAAAAGGAACTTATATAATTTTACTTTTGGATTTTGAAGTGGCACAAATCAAAAGGTCTGACTAGGAGGGCCAGATTAATGCTTTGGAGACACTACACACAGAAAATATTGTGTTGTGTTCTCTTAACCCATACAAATCAACCTGACGCAATACAAAAGTATAAATGTAAGCCACTCAAATAATTCTAAATTTTCACCTTATGAAAACAATGATTTAAAAAAAAAATCAGCTTTTTAGTCTACTAAGTGGGTTGTCCAATGCAGAAGCAGAAGAAAACCATTTCTGGAATTGCCCCACTTGTCCTGAAATTTATACAATTTACAGATACTGTAAAAGATTCAGCAAGTAGAGGAATGATTCAATTTGTTGGAAATGTTCTTCTCTGAGTGAGATAGAGAGCTATTGCAGGATTCAGAATTAAGATCCAGAGGGTTAAACACAAACCAATTAACAATTAGGAGATTTTCATTATTAAACTCCCTGTCACTGTAAGTCTAGAATTCAAACAAGTATAACTTTGATAATTTTTATTCATTTATGAATCACTCTATATTTTTTAATAATTTTAATTTGACTTTGAAAGGATTTAATATATTTCTAATTCATGTAATTGACAATGGAGAATTAATCTGAGGAAATAATTGGATTTTCTCAGGCTATCTCAGAGACACAGGTAACAGATGAAAAATTATTTTCCTTTAAAGTCCTATACTTTAGCTTACTACAGAATACCTCTGATATTATGATTTGTTTCTTGTTTAAAAATTGGAAAAGTAAAATAGATTTACACATAATGTTACAGTTATCTGAACCTGGTTTTGGGTCTCCAGGGTGACATAAATGTCACATGAATTCATACAAGAACAGATTTTCAGTTTATTCCCCTGATGGAAAAAAATGTTAATAGATATGCCACTTTTTAACTGTTGTATTAAAATTAATAATCATAGCCTTTTTAACTTTCTGTGTCCCAGGAGTATGGTTTACGTTGGAGTACATTCTATAAGTTGAAAAACAAAATAATAATAATTACCTATAATGATCTCCAAATACTCATGCCTTTTGTATTAATTTACTCAGAGGAGTAATTTTGAACTAACATATACAAACACTTCGTAAACAATTAAGGAATTCTGGGAAATAAATTTAGTAAAAGCTCTCATTCTATTTGTGGCTATAAAATACACATATATACAGCACAAGATTCACATTTTTATTATCAATATTTCTCTTACTTTTACTTTCATCTACTGGAATATATGACCAGGAAACAATTGGACAGCAATTTTAAAACACTGCTATGTAAGCAGATTTATGTAAGTGATAAAAAGATACACATACTTTTTTTGTCTTCAGTAACTTGTCTTTTAGACTAATTCATCCTCATGTATTTGCTTACTGATGTCACATGTATTTAGATTTACAAAAATTTAGACTAAAGCAACAAAAAATACCTATTGCTTGGTTTTTTATGTTGCTTGCTAAAATATTTGCATTTTATAAATGTGTAATGAATGTATGTAATTAATATAAATTAAGTCTAAAATTTATAGACATATAGATTATATCCATCGATACAAACATGAAAATTGTGCAATAAAACATAAGAAAATGTTTATACATATAGATAAATACAATATAAAAGGAAGGAAGTAGGGAAGGAAGGATAAAGGAAGGAAGAATGGGGGTTGGGGGGACAGGAAAAATGTATTAACTCATGAATTAACCCAAGAGAAAAAAATGTAATAGTGTCAAAAAACTCACTAAACTTTCTTTGATATGGAAATTGCTCAGATGGTTTATATATGTATGGTCCCAATTTTACATATGATTAAAATAGAATTTTCAAATCAACCTTATGAACATTTTCAAAAGGTAAATAAAATGAGATGTTATTTATTACATTTATAAGTCAAAGCAGCATAGCATTTTTCATTTATAAACCATTGCATTTTTCATACCAATTCAAAGTGAAACATGTCAGTACTCAGACAATTTGTATTAAATTTATGGCCCACATTTCTGGATTTGTTATTTAAATTATAATTAATTTGAATCGTAATGCAGGATATAAAGTTTCTGTGGAAAAATTACTTCTGTGTTTCAAGTCAATTATTTAAAGTGTATTTCAAGTTTATTTGTATTCTTCCTTGTCTAGTCGCCATTCTTAATAACTGTTTTGATTGATTTAAGTGTTCTTTAATACTAGGCACCAATAAGATCTATTTATTAGATGTATAACCGTGAACACACAAAAATGATTCTATTCCCTCTTGGTCAACGTACACTTTCCCTCAGGAGTATCAATAGTGATCATGGCCCTCTAAATCTCTGCTGCAGCTTCCAATGCCTTCATCTTTTCTTTTCCAAATGAGAGAGGAGTGGGCTTGAATCTACTAGCAAATCAGATGCAGTGCCTACCATGGTACACTTTGCATGTAATTAGGGACCAGACCTTGTCGATAGCAAAGCCCTCTCTGCCCACACACTTCATCCTACCCTATATTATCCTATCCTATTCTGTTCTATCCTGTCCTACCTATCTGTGTACATCAGAGAAAAAACATGGATTCTTCTTCACAGCTATTATGTCAGTAGCAGAGGATAATGGGTCTAAATAATCTTAACTCATCCACATTAAGTTATTTAGGTAAAACAGTTCAATAAATGATGACGTAGTTCTTACTTTGTGCTAACATCAATATAAAATTATCTTTGGATTCATTTTGAACCAAAATATACTTATTTCTTAAAATTTGAAAAATAGTAGGGTTCTAATCAATTGTGTTTTCTATTTCTTTCTCTCTCTTTTTCCTAAAGTCAGTAGTAATAAACTGCGCTTCAAATTCACTTATCTTTTGTAAAAAGAAAAGTACAAGGAGTTTTAAGTAGAATCACAGAATCATAGGTGTGAAAAGTTAACGTTATCTTAAGCAATGCTTGAGCCCTGTTTGCATCATTCCAACAAAATAATCTGTCTTATACTTGAGAGGCTCTAATTACATAGAAGTCCCCATTATTCCAGGAACTCATTCCATTGTCTGAAAACAGTAATCACCACAAAGTTCTTTCTCACAGGTGAAAATCTACCCTCTAAAGCTTCCTCTCATTTATAGCTTCATCACATAAAAACAATTATATTCATTCTAAATTCTGCTGCCATGTGCAAGCTCCTCAAATATTTGGAGGACCTCTTTATGTCCTCTCTGGATGTTCAGTTCTCCAGGTAAATATTTCCAGTTCCCTTAACCATTCATTATAGGACATTGTTGTCCAAGTATACTCATTCCTTGTGGTCCATATAAATGTTTCTTCTCCGCATACACTCTTAATTCCAAATAGAGAAAAAGAAGGAAACTTCAGCATTCCTAACAAAAAGCTAACTACAGAGAACACAGTTCAATGCACCCATCACAATTGGAACAATACTTTAAGATAATGCAATAAATGCCCGATAGAAGGACTGCAGATAATGTAATAGAAATGTGAAATATTTTACATTTTATTCCATAATTTAGCTGAGAGAGCTTCTGAAACACTCTTTCTAGAAGTCAAAAAACAGAACTATATTTCTATTTTTCTTTTTACGTATTTCGATGTTATACCAGCATTATGCAAATGACAAGTGCATGCAATGTAAGCAATTATTATCTTAGGGAGATTTCAGCATTGCCACTACTGTTTGCATCCTGTATTTATTATATGGTAGCACAAGTAAACTTCCAAGTAGCTACCTATGAATAGCAAAAATAAGATCAGAACTTCAACATAATAACCACTTATTTCAGTGGAAATAACTGAAGTAACTTAAGTGACACTTCACACAAAATTTTCAGTTGCTTCAAGATGGTATCTGTAATGAATGCATTGAGGTGTAGCACGGGCGTCATTACTTTAAAGATGGAATCACTCATTGTGCCAGCTGGTGAGAATGATCATGACTAACAGCTAGCTATCTTCCAGATTAAAGAGTCTCGTCTCCCAAGGTTGCATTTTTTTTTTTTTTTTTTTTGAGACAGTCTTGCTCTGTCACCCAAGCTGGAGTTCAGTGCCGTGATCTCGGCTGGGTGCAACCTCCACCTCCCAGATTCAAGTGCTTCTCCTGTCTCAGCCTCCTGCATTTTCTTTTCAAGGTAACCCACATCTGATGACTGATCAATGCAGAAACATAACAACCCATCCCTTGGGTCTGGGATGATTCCCATGTATTTATTTTGAAAAACTGGAAGGTGGACTCACAACTTTCAGCAACAGGAATGACTTTAAGACCCAGTTTGGACATTTTAGAGGATTAATTTTGGAGGGACTAGCAGTAGCTTTTCCAAAGAGAGACGTCTTGAAGTTAGAAGGAAATTAAGTTTGGAATTGAGAGAAGGACTAGAGTTGGACAATATATATTTTAAAAGTTTTATTAGAAATGACATTTACAAAAATGAGACTAGATGACATTTTAAAGAGAACGAGCACAAATAAAAAATGAAAGAGGTGTTACAAATGTATGGATTAAGGAGATGAAGAGTAATCGGCAGAAGAACCTGAGTTGGAATAGAAAGGTAGGCAGAAAATGAGGCAGGATGAGATCGTGGCCCTCCGTGTGACAATGTGAAGCCTATAGCAACAGGGCGCTATAGGCCTGCGAGAGAAGAGTGAAAGAAAGCATGGTTACCGCTGGAAAGGCTATTGCCTTTTTGTGTTTGTTTCTTTATTGGCCTTTTTCTGTTTGTTTCCTTATTGGCCTTTTTGTGTTTGTTTCTTTATTTTACAACATAATTTTTCACGCAGCAGAACCAATTCCCTACTGATTCAGTAGATGGGCTTTGCTTAATAATCCCTTAGATAATCATTACATTCTATCATGAGAAATCCGCCTATCTGTTGGATAGGCACCAAACATTCCAACTAACTGTGCTTTTGACTGACCAGGACTTAAAATCTTTGGGGGCACTCCTTAAATTCTCACTACCAAATCTGCATAACAATGATCATACAGTGTTGATGTGGTGTTCTGATGAAGCTATAGTTACTTTTGTCATTAATTAATGCTCTCTAAATGCAATTTAATGATATTTTTCTTTTATATACATGGTTGAAAATATAGATGAAATATAGCATTGATATAGACATTTTGGTACATTCTTTTGATGAAAACATTTTGTTCTGTTTATTTTATTTCATAACACATATTTCAAATGTCCAAATGGATAAGGATGCAAAGTCTTTGTTCTACAGTTAAACATGTAATGTCATAAATTCATGGAAGAGATTTATTTTGACTCATAATAAATGAGGAAGTATCAAAAAAGACCACTTAGTGCTAGAGTTGATAATCATTTTACTAAGGTACATAAAATCATTTGAAGTCATCGTACAAATAAGTATATTTTAGAATGACTTACAAACTATTAAGCAAATTTAAGAGATCATGATATTTGACTGGAAAAATCATGGGTAGAATGTCTTAAGTGGTTTTAAAATATGGCTATATCTCTTAAAAGGGCCTTAGGCTCTGGCAAAGTAACTAGAAATGAATTACAGTTAATCTATGAAAGAATTTTAGTCTTAAATGTGAAATGTAAGAGGGTGCTAGCAAACTAAGAGACACTAACGTGAGGGTCTTTAGGATCCCCCTTCACATATTTTCGTATACATTTGTGGACTATAGATGTGGCACCAAATATTTATTAATTCAACATAGTTTAAAAATACAGGTCAAATCTACTTTCCTGTACAAACAGGTGACTTTGAATGATATTCAAGTCAGTGCACATTCTTACCAATCAACTGTGCAATTACCTTGCGCTTCGTATCTTCTGGCTCTGTACCTGACCTCATTTGTACTGTCTTTCCCTTACATATCTAGGCAGAAAGCCTCCCTACCAACTGTACCTCGATAACAGGCCATATTCATCATGAAGTCTTGTTTTGAAATCACAATTAAACTCCACTATGATTCCATAAAACATATGTAGTATCTTCACTATAGAAAAATCTACCTTGTGACTGGTAGGACTATTTCTTCTCCCTCTAAATAATAAGTTCCTAATAGGCAAAGATCACCTGTATAAGGTGTGTTCCAATCTACTCACTTTCTGTTTCTTATATTATTTGATACATGCTAAGGGTGCTCAATAGATTTTTTTGTTGAATTCAATTAAAATTCGTACAAAACAGAGCTCCATGCTAACATACCTTTTCTAGCTGTGTGATATTATTAGGTGAGCTAGTAACTTTCTTGATCATTAGTTACCTCGTATACAGATAATGTTAAAATATCTACGTATAAATCCCATAAGGATTTCACAGTACGACAAATTTAAAATAATTATCACAGTATCATTCACATAGTAGTGGAGAATAATTCAAGAGATGTTAGTTCTCTTACTGCAAAACAGCTCTTAAAATTATGATAAGGTGGCCACACGCAGTGGCTCCTGCCTATAATCCCAGCACTTTGGGAGGCCGAGGTGGGTGGATCACGAGGTCAGGAGATCAAGGCCATCCTGGGTAGCATGGTGAAACCCCGTCTGTACTAAAAATACAAAAAATTAGCCAGGTGTGGTGGCGCTTGCCTGTAATCCCAGCTACTCAGGAGGCTGAAGCAGGAGAATCACTTGAACCCAGGAGGCAAAGATTGCAGTTAGCTGAGATGGCACCACTGCACTCCAGCCTGGGGGACAGAGCGAGAATCTGTCTCAAAAAAAAAAAAAGAAAGAAAAATTATGATAAGCCTAATAAAATTGTTTGCACTATATGGCCTCAATTTATCGTGTAGAGGAAATTATGTTAGAAACAAAGCTAAAAACTCTTCAACTCAAAAGAATTACTAGTGATTTGGTAATAGAAATTCATTTACGTCTAGGTAAGTTAATCATTTCAACATGCTGATAAAGGAAAACAAAACTATTTCTGAACAATTTTATATACTCTTTGTTTTAAAAATTCTTTAACATGAGGAAAACTCTTTTGTCCTTGTGCTTCAATGCGTTATCAATAATAAAGAAGGGGCTTAATATAAAATGTATCGTTTGAATTCAAGATTATTTGAATTTTAAAAAGGTACTTTTCTTCCAGCTATATAAATTGCAGAAAACTTAGGAAACACAGAAAAATATACAGCAAGAGGAACAATATATAATTTTTCAATTCAGGGATATGTGATACTAATGTTTTATTGTCTTTTTTATTTAGCTTATAGATTTATGATGTAGTTACACTTAAATATACGTGAGTATGTATCTATATTGATTTATACGCACTATTGAAATTTTATCTCAGTATACAAAGTGGATATTTTCCCACATCATTAAACATTTTGGTAATGTAACATTAATTCTTATGTGACATTTTACTATGTATTGTACCATCGCTTGATCTGTTGCCCAGTTGTTGGATATTTTCACTTTTTTTTTGAAACTGTAAAGAGAATTACGTTATATATTCTGACACATAACCATAATCTACATTTCTGATTGTTTTACTGGTTCCCAAGAAATGGATTTACCTGTATGAATATGTGAACTTTTGAGATATTATTTTATATAGATGTATTAATATAAGTTCCTAATGTGAACTTCCTTATCCAAAAGTTGATTTATGCAGGTAGAGAGTGGATGCAGGTAGAGAGTAGAATGATAGTAGAATGATAGATACTAGAGGCTGGCAAGCGTCTGTGTGAGAGGAGTTTAGCACACAAAGAAAGATTGGTTAACAGGTACAAAAATACAGTTAGAAGAAATAAGTTCTAATGTTTAATAGCAGAGCAGGGTGATGGTTAATAGCAATGTATTGTATATTTAAAAATAGCTGGAAGCAAGGACTTGAAATGTTCGCAGCATATAGAAAGGATAAATACTCCAGATGATAGATACCCTAAATACCTTGAATCGATCATTACACAGTCTGTGTGTGTAACAAAATGTTACATGTACCCCTAAATGTATAAATATCATGTGTCAATTAAAAAGTTAAAAAATAGCCTTTATGACAATACAGTCTTTACTAATTTTAAATATTATTCTTTTTTTATATTTCTTTGAAGTTAGAGATTTTTTCCTAAGTTCATATGCTATTTAAATTGTTTTGTTTTTAATACTGGTATTTTGATTATCTTATGAGAGCTAATCATATATCACTACTTAATTATATACATTAACTCTTTCTCACATTTATGGCAAAAATATTTCAGACTTTTTAATGATGGCATTTTGTGCTGTGCATTCGTTAATACTGTATATATTTCACAGTACTGGTTTTATTTCTTTATGATTGTTTTGCCTTTATATTTTATCCTTGCTTGTATATTTTACATACATTTATAAAGTTTCTAATGATACCATTTGGAAATCATTTTCCAATTTTTTCTACACATATTTCTATGGATTGTATGTATTTTTTGCATTATTAGTATTATACTATACATGTTAATTTGTCGTTCTTCCACGTATGAAGTGAGCAACTTGTCCTACCATTACTTATCCAATTTCACATGACATTTTAATGTGTTATATTGAGTAAATGAACTCATAAAAATTTTTCATAATTTAACATTGAATTTTTTATCCACATACTGTACTCAGTGCTAAATTCTAAATAAAAAATACATAGTATTACTAATGTGCATTCAATGTGGCTTAAATCGCTCTTACTGGAACACATGTTAAATTAATAAAATATGGTCTTTAAGTCACTTTTCTAAGCTATACAGGTGTTTTGTATATAAATGATTGCTGTAAAATGCTGAATAGCTTTTTTTATTGCCTTACTTAATTGGTAGTCTCTTTACCTCAGTCGTGAAGTTTGAAATAGGAACTAAAAATCATTAGTTTTACCACTTGAATGATAAAACTAAATCACAATTTTAGACAAAAAAAAAAAAAAGGACACAGCAGGAGGTCAATAAAAGGGAAAGAAAGAGTAAAACACAGTTTATTTCCAGGAAAGAAGCCGTAATTGTTACTCAGAACACATAAGGAGAGCGTGATTTTAAACATTTAGAGGAAATCACAAAAGCTTGAAGGGCCTTCCCCCAGAGGCACCTTGAAAGAATTCATGTTTCTAAAATAGGAAACATTTACCAAGACTTTGTATAAGAACAGTTTCAGGCTAGTGTCAGCTTAACTAAAGCAAATGAACTTTCTGGCCTTAATAGTCTTAATGGTCACTGTGCTACTTCTGTCAACATGGTTTGCTTTTCTTTAAAAAAGAGTATCTGTCTATCTATCTGTCTAGTATGCATATAAATATAATGTGCAATATATATATTGCACATTAATGGAAAAATAAGAAAACTTCCTCATAATATTAAGCTCCACAATTTTTAGAAAAAGAGGTACATTTTTTAATGCAAATAAATGATATGCTTCCATTGGAATTTTCCAAGATTCTTTTTCTTGTGTGATTGATTTCTGTCTGGAATAAAACTTACATACAATGATTCTTCTATTGTTAAAATTCGATACTTAAAAGAGATTAGAAGCCATTTTCTCCCAATGGGAATGGTCATTTTACAATAAAATATATTTTTTATATAATTAGAAAGACTACATATTGTTTCTCTGGCAGGTCCCCAGTCATGCTTGCTCCAATGATAACAAGATATAACAACAAAAATGACGAAAGCATTTTTTGGGAAATAAATAAAAGTGTGTATATATAGATACAGATTTAGATAGCAATCATGAAATCTGACCTTTTGATTTTTGAGGGGAATTCAACTGATTTTGGGAAAAATGACAAATTTACATATTTTCCATGTTTTAAATGGAAATAAATTATGTTTTTTGGGACTTCTGACTAACCAAGTTTGCTTATTTGCTGTGTTTTTATTTGTTTAACCTTTAATGAAGAGCTTTAGGAAGAAGCAGAGCAACACCTCAGTGACCATACATAAAAGGTTTTGTCATATCAATTTAAAGCAGATGAATAATTATAAACTTTTTGAGACTGCAATAGCCTATCAGTGTGTAAACATATTCTCTTTCTTTTTAATCTTATACGATTTTATTTTAAGTTCCGGGGTACAAGTGCAGGATGTGCAGGTTTGTTACACAGATAAACGTGTGCCATGGTGGTTTACTGCACCTATCAAACCATCACATAGGTATTAAGCCCCAGCATGCATTAGCCATTATTTCTGATCCTCTCTCTCCCACCCCCTGACAAGCCCCAGTGTTTGTTCTCCTCCCTACGTCCACGTGTTCTCATTGTTTAGTTCCCACTTATAAGTGAAAACGTGTGGTGTTTGGTTTTGTGTTCCTGAGTTAGTTTGCTGAGGATAGTGGCTTCCAGCTCCATCCATGTCACTACAACAGATAGGATTTTGTTTCTTTTTATGGCTGCATAATATATCATGGTATATATGTGCCATATTTGTTTATCCAGTCTATCATTGATGGGCATTTGGGTTGATTCCATGTCTTTTCTGTTTTGAATAGTACTGCAATAAATATATGCATGCATGTATCTTTATAATAGAACAATTTATATTCCTTTGGGTATATACCCAGTAACGGAATTGCTTAGTCAAATGGTATTTCTGGTTCTAGGTCTTTGAGGAATTGTCACACTGTCTTCTACAATGGTTGAACTAATTTGCATTCCCATCAACTGTGTAAAAGTGTTCCTGTTTCTCCTCAGCCAACATCTGCTGTTTCTTGACTTTTTAATAATCACCATTCTAACTGGCCTGATATGGTATCTCATTCTGGGTTTGATTTGCATTTCTCTAATGATCAGTGATGTTGAGCATTTTTTAATATGTTTGTTGCCTCTATAAACGTCTATTTTTGAGAAATGTCTGTCCGTGTCCTTTGCCCACTTTTTAACGGGGTTATTTGTTTTTTTCTTGTAAATTTGTTGAAGTCCCTTGTAGACTCAGGATATTAAACCTTTGTCCAATGGATAGATTGCAAAAATTTTCTCCCATTCTGTAGGTTGTCTGTTCACTCTGATGATAGTTTAATTTCCTGTGCAGAAGCTCTTTAGTTAAACTAGATCCCATTTGTCAACTTTTGTTTTGTTGCAATTGCTTTTAACATTTTTGTCATGAAATCTTTGCCTGTGCCTATGTCCTGATTAGTATTGCGTAGATTTTCTTCTAGGGTTTATATAATTTTGGGTTTTACATTTAAGTCTTTAATCCATCTTTAGCTAATTTTTGTATTAGGTATGAGGTAGGGGTCCAATTTGAATTTTCTGCATATGGCTAGTAAGTTCTCCCAGCACTATTTATTAAATAGGGAATCATTTCCTCATTGCTTGTTTTTGTCAGGTTTGTCGAAGATCAGCTGGTTGTAGTTGTGTGGTCTTATTTCCGAGTTCTCTATTTTGTTAAATTGGTCTAGGTGTCTGACTTTGTACCACTACCATACTGCTTTAGTTACTGTAGCCTTGTAGTATAGTTTGAGGTCAGAAAGCATGATGTCTCCAGCTTTGCTCTTTTTGCTTAGGATTGTCTTGGCTATACGGGCTCTTTGTTGGTTCCATATGAATTTTAAAATAGTTTTTCTCTAATTTGGGGAAGAATGTCAATGGTCGTTTAATGGGAATCGCACTGAATCTATAAATTATTTTGGGCTGTACAGCCATTTTCATGATATTGATTTTTTCTACCCATGAGTGTGGAATGTTTTTTCATTTGTTTCTTTCCTCTCTTATTTCCTTGAGCAGTGGTTTGTAGTTCACCTTGAAGAGGTCCTATCACTTCCTTTATTAGCTGTATTAGTAGGTATTTTATTCTCTTTGCAGTAATTGTGAATTGGAATTCATTCATGATTTGCCTCTCTGCTTACCTGTTGTTGGTGTATAGGAATGCCTGTCATTTTTCCACATTGATTTTGTATCCTGAGACTTTGCTGAAGTTGCTTGTCATCTTAAGAAGCTTTTGGGTTTAGTTGAATGGAGTTTTCTAGATATTGTATCATGTCTTCTGCAAACAAAGACAATTTGACTTCCTGTCTTCCTATTCGAATGCCCTTTATTTCTTTCTCTTGCCTGATTGCCCTGGATCTTAAACTATTTTAAGTTAATGAGGGATATAAATATTTTATAATTTCAATTAGTAATTGGTAACTGCCAAAATGTCAGAGTGCTAATCTGGGATGAACTGAAATTAACGTATACTTATCTCTATGATCTAATAACTTTGGCTTGTCTCTTATATTTCTGTTATTCCCTACATGATTTCCCAATTGAATTCATCAAAAACCGAGCTTCTACTTTGTGTCAATTTTTGTTTCTATGATAAGGGAATAAAGAATATGTTAAACATATAAAATGAAGACAATGTGAACCTTTAAAGAAATAGGAACTAGCATATTTTATGGGTGCACAAATGCAGAATGCTTTGTTCAGCCGAGGAGAGGTTAGTAGAAAAATAGTTCCTGAAGAATCATCTTCAAGTCAATGTTTTGTTTTGCTTACCTGTAGCGGGCCTTCAAGGCTTCTTTCCCTCAGGCTACATGGCTGCATTTAATTTCAAACAGCATAAACAAAAGTCCTTTATAGTGCTTTGTCACAGCTGAATTGAATTATCCTAGATAAGACTTCTCAAACCCAGATAAATATGCCATTCACTTGGTGCTAAGGAATAATTATTCAGTGATTTCATATAAAGTTGCTTTTTCTCTTAACTTTCTTGTAGCCAGTGAAAATCCCATAACAAGGGACTTCCAATTTGAAACAACAACAACAACTAATAAATGAAAACATTTTCAAAAGCATATTATGTGTGGAAATACTGGGGTGTTATTGAGTGATTTAGGAGGCACACAGGTACAAATAACATACTGGTATAAATTGTAGAATGATGTTTCAGATATCGTCAAATAATAATATTCTTTGTTTATATATGGTGACGTTTCTTGATTCTTGTATTCTGTATAATGTGCCCAGAGTTAATAGACAAAATATTGAGTTGGGTCATGATCAATTAGTAAAATGGTGTTGTGAATAAAATATACATTTAAATTTTAATCGTATGTGTATTAAATAATTTGTTTTAGGCCGGATGCGGTGGCTCACGCCTGTAATCCCAGCACTTTGGGAGGCCGAGGTGGGTGGATCACGAGGTCAGGAGATGGAGACCATCCTGGCTGACCCGGTGAAACCCATCTCTACTAAAAATACAAAAAATTAGTCGGGCATGGTGGCAGGCACCTGTGGTCCCAGCTACTTGGGAGGCTGAGGCAGGAGAATGGTGTGAACCCGGAAGGCGGAGCTTGCAGTGAGCGGAGATCGCACCACTGCACTCCAGATTGAGCAGCAGAGCTAGACTCCATCTCAAATAAATAAATAAATAAATAAATAATAATTTGTTTTAACATTTGCTATAGAAATACAGCTCAAAGAGAGGATGTGAAATGTTCCCAACACATAGAAATGGAAACTATAAAGAGAATTGCATTGCAAATCCTGACACGTAAATTTAATCTACATTTCTGAATGTTTTCTTGGTTTGCAAGAAATGGATTAACCTGAATGAATTTGTGAACTTTGAGATATTCTTTTTCATGTAGATTTACAAATAAAAATTGCCAATATCATGGAACTAGAGAGTGAGAATGATAGTTATCAGAGGCTGGGAAGAGTGTGTTGGACGGGGACGGGGGATGAAGACAATGGGAAGAAGGAAGGCAAAGAGATTAAGAAAAGAGAGGGAATATGTTTAAAATACATGAAGACAGAAGGAGGGCCAAAATAAAGGATTCTGTCTTCCTCAACGCTCTATTCGTAGATCTTAGCATTATGTGCACACATAGGAGATGTTCAGTAAACAACTGTTAACTATTTACAGGCACTGCAGAATTTGTTACTTTTATTAAGTTCTATTATGTAATTTCACCCATAATCTGATATGTATACCTCTATCACTGTACATATCATACCATTGAAATAATTTGTTTTGTGAGTATATCTCCTCCCTCACTCTTGAATTACCTTAGAAGGCATGATCCAAGTCAGTTATTTCATCTCCACTACTTATGTGCCTAATAAATAATCAGTTTGAGTCATTATTTATTATGTATTTCTAATGTAGATATTTATTTAAAAATAAATAATAATGTAAATTTTAAATAACAATGATAATTAATAAATAATAAAAGTAAATAAATAATAACCTTGTGCCTAAGAAACAATCACTTGGTAAATAGACTCAACTGACACAGATATCATTATGTCAATAAGCATCATCATCACCAATAAAAACAGTTGTGAAAAACTATTCAGCTTGCTGTGTCTACTACTGAGGAAACAAAGAGATGCATGGCATAGTCTCTGATCTAGAGGTATTTACAAAGTCAATTGAGAAACCAGGATGAAATGGCTAATGACTGTTTGAGGCAGGCCTTTTTATAACACAAAGGAGGAAATGAAACCTACCCTTTTTCTTTTTTTGGAAATCAAGTGGCTTAAAATTATATTGGTAATTACACTTAATTTGTACTCATAAGCAGACATTAACATTCACCTTTGGAAGATAATTTGTTCATTCAATCAATCTTGTATGTTCTTTGGGGAGTGGGGGAGATTAGGAAGCTGAAGATAGCACATAACAAATTATATTTTACTATATACTAAAATGGAGATGAAGAATAAAAAATAAAAGCAAGAAAAAATAAGGATATGTCTTTATTTGCTTTTATATAGCAATCACACTTAAAGCTAAACATTATACTTTATCCTTACATGTATACTTTGGGACCTATTCATGAGCTTCAAATTTAAATGCAATTCATCTAATTGCTGAGATGAAAGAAAAAATATGAGATACATAGTTTAGCATCCCTAAGATTAAAAACATAAAGAATCACCATGTTCCCAGGAAAATTAGAGCTATTCAAGTATTTTTGAATTATTTTACAGATGGCTCTGTAATCATAGTGAAAAGTGTCTTAGATAATATCCTTACAATAGGTATAACTATGAGTTAAATAGGGCTATTTCTTATAGCAGTCATCAATATAATATAGTCTGAGTACCTTATTTTATCCAGATTTGGTTAGATCTGAGAATATTTTAAAATATTTGAAAAGTTAGTTGGATTTCTTTTCCTTGGAATTATATTCACTTAGTAGATTTTGTTTCTACTGAATTTGCAAAATGTCCTATGAGGAATACTTAACTGACAGTGGCAATTGTCTGGAATGCCAGCAGAATTTTCTTGAATAAAGTTTGGATTCCTGTGTTTTAGCAGAAAATCAAATTAGGATTGGGTTTTATCCTTTCATGAGGAAGGCAAGGAACCTGGAAGCTGGCTTCTGCAGTGAACCAAAATAGGACTTCACGTCATGGACGTGGTATTCTTAAAAATAATAATAAAAAATTGAAACTACTGAGAGTTAAAATGGGCAGTAGAAACTTCACAGGTATGCTTCATTGTCAATATACTTCTAATCTAAAAACAATAATAATCTAAACAGAAAAAGACTTTGACCTTGGCCAAATATATTCTCAGTAATCATGGAGTACCAAGCATTGTGCAATAATATTTCCCGGTATACCACTCATAATTGAGATAAAAATCTCCAAAATGATTGAGTTAACTTGGTTTAGTAATTTAAATATGGGGGATACTGGAACTTTTCTTTCCACTACAGCTTTTCTTCCTTCCTTATCTCCTTGAATGTTCCCTCTCTCTAGGAAGGATAAGTACCAATGTATAGATAAGTTTTATCAGATGAAATGCCAAAAACAATGAAGATATGCAGAGCTACTAGCCTTGTGTTATTTTAAATAATATTTTTCAGCTTAATTTTAATAATATTCACAAATCTTAGCAAACATTCTACACACACTCACACACAAACACACACACACACACACACACACACACAGAGAGAGAGAGAGTCTGAATTAAATGGGGCTCAAAATCTGCTTCAACTGTTTACTAAATTTATAATCTAAGAAAAAGTATCTTCCTCAATGCTTATACTTCTCATTGGTAAAATGCAGATAGTTATAATATTTTTCTCATATAATTTTTGTGAGGATTAGAAGAGTGGCCAAGTCATAAGGCAGAATGTTGTTCTGATAAGCATGGAGAGAATTATTGCAACCACCTTTGCAAACAAATTACATACGATCGAAGTAACTGCTCACTATTTTTATAAGTATTTTCTTAACAGTTTTATTTGCATATTTCATCAGATGAAATTTAGAGTCATTGTCAAGTTTTCCTTGGTCTTCATTCAGTTTGCTCTCGGAGTCTGCCCAGTGCATTTGCTTTGTATACTTATTCCAATAATATCTTATATTCCTACAATGTATTTTAATTTTCTGCATAATTTATATGTTTATTGAGTTTGTTCCTGTGATTTAAATTTTTCTTTTTTTTCTTATGTATTATCACAATATTTCTACTTGGTTATTAGTGATATAGAAAAGTTTTGTTTATTTGTATGTTCTTTATTCTAAATGATTTCATGTTTAATTCAGTGTAATTTTTAGGAGTTTTTTAATTTGTTATTTTCAACAGGCAATATTACTACACGCAAAACATTGAAAAATATATATCTACTCTTTTTTTATATTTTCTTTTGTTCATTCTTTGTTCTGTTGGCATGATTAAAATTGCCTTCATTTTGTGTAATAATCTTCAGTATGTTAACACTGTGTAAGATTGATGTTATTGCAAGATAGGAATCCTTTATCTTGCAGAAAATAGAAGCTCTATCTCTAATTTATTAGTTTTATTATCCATTCACCTATTTACTTAGTCATTTAATAAGTATTTATAGGCCAGGCATGGTGGCTCAGGCCTGTAATCCCGACACTGTGGGAAGCCGAGGTGGGCGCATCACGAAGTGAGGAGATCTAGACCATCCCGGCCAACATAGTGGAACCCTGTCTCTACTAAAATATGAAAAATTAGCCTGGCATGGTGGCACACACCTGTAGTCCCAGGTACTCAGGAGGCTGAGGCAGGGGAATCGTTTGAACCCGGGAGGCGGAGGTTGCAGTGAGCTGAGATCGTGCCACCGCACCCCAGCCTGATGACAAAACAAGACTCTGTCTCAAAAAGAAAAAAAAAAGGCATTTATAAAATGCCTAGTATGTGCCAGATACTTCAATCAAAAATTTAAAAATAAAAACAAAACTATAGAGATAATTTTATGTTTTAATTCTTTGATTTAATAATTATGGGTCCAATTTTTATAAGCAAAAATAATTGCTCTTACTTTACTCTTGCATTTTATCTCATTATTGGTTACTATCTACAAACCAAAGGCCAGGAAAAAGTCAATGAAAATGATTTTATTCACTATTTTGTTTACTTTTTGTATTGTTCCTGGTGCATTTTTCCTAAACTGCTATGCTATATAACAGAGCGCTATTGTAAAATAATCTAACAAAGCTGCAAATTCTTTGTAACATATTTTTCCTGTAAGTTGAATATAATGTCCTCTAAAGTAATTTGTATACAGAAATCATATAGCAATATATATTAGGGAAAGAAAGCACTGCATCTTTTTAAAAATGGGATAAATCATATTACATATCCATCAAAGTAGAATAATGCACATGGGGTTAATAAAAAGGAACAATTTGTTAAATTTTTTCCAGAATTGCATCTAGAAGCAAAAGTCAATTTGGCTTAATGCCTATAATGGAGTTAATAAGACACTTTAGAAAGTGATTGGTTTATATAAAAAACATGGGGCGTTTGACCTTGATTTTTAAATTAGAGAGAATCGATTGGCATAAAATGCAATCTGAACCTACACAATTTCAATTACCAGATTCATTCTTAAATGATATCCCAGAATCATCTATCATTGCTGGGTCTTACACACCACTTCAGGAACTCTCATATAGTTGTAATTTAAGAAATTTTTTGAAACAACTTAGTTTGAGAAATTCATTATGGCTTCGTTAAGTAAAAATTTCATAATAACATCATACAGTTTGGAAGCATTATGATTTTGGAACATTGCCTAACTTGGCAAGAAAACAGTTTGTGAATAAGAAATCTAGCTATCTTGTTAGTATGCTAAAATATTTTTTGTCAAAATTTTCACTAAGTTCTCCTCCAAGAATAGCATGTTTCTTGGAAATGGTAAAATTGATCATAAATGTATTCTATCTACATACAAGTGCATGATCTGCATCTCAGATGAACTTTATGCAATTATCAAATAGATGGTTTACAATGATTAAACCAGTTGAAACAATACTAAGATAAATAAAAATTCATAGATGCAAAAATATATTGATAGGAAAATAATTTATCATAATCATTGTGACTGAAGAAAATTTGGCAAATGTAGAAAAGTTATAAGAAATAAATAAAAACTACCTGTAACTAATTCCTAGATATAACTTTTTGACTCTATGACTTTTTTTACAGGTTTATGTAGTAGTTTATTTCTCTGTTTTCCTCCTCATTTGGCTTATTTTCAATTTTTCATTCATTGTAAACAGTACTGTAAAAATTAATTGTACAAAATGTTTGATCACATAACTGATGAATAAGAATAGGTAATTTTTTAAATAAAATATTTTCCAATTGAGATGTAAGACTATAAGTACTCAAACTAATGGAGCTGAAAAAGTATAAAGATTAGCTTCTGATTATATTCTAAGAGTAGAAATTAAATTGAGATTTAGCCAAGTTTAATTATCAACTGAAATAGTTTTAAATTATTTTCTAGTTTCCATGTCTGAGTTTTGAGTGATAATATGTGTATGCAAGTATGTTTTCATTATGGATCAATGGTTTTAAAAGTTTAGTCTCGAATCTAAGTTAATGGAACATTTTTTGATAGAGTCATAATGTCTCCCACATATTAGGCGACCTCTGTTTTTCCATATGAATTGCTTTTAAAATTGTTGAAGGACGGAAAATTACTAGGGGAGGGTGATTCTGTAAACTAACTGTAGCTTTCCAACTGTGAGTAGGAAAACACTCATATCTTTCTGTAGACCTCCTGTACAGATTCATCACTTATGAAAACCAGGATGGAACTAGAAGTCTCAAAAAGTCACATAAGGCCGGGCGCGGTGGCTCACGCCTGTAATCCCAGCACTTTGGGAGGCCGAGGCGGGCGGATCACGAGGTCAGCAGATCGAGACCATCCTGGGTAACACGGTGAAACCCCGTCTCTACTAAAAATACAAAAAAATTTAGCCGGGCGTGGTGGCGGGCGCCTGTAGTCCCAGCTACTCGGGAGGCTGAGGCAGGAGAATGGCGGGAACCCGGGAGGCGGAGCTTGCAGTGAGCCGAGATAGCGCCACTGTGCTCCAGCCTGGGCGACAGAGCGAGACTCCGTCTCAAAAAAAAAAAAAAAAAAAATTTAAAAAGCGAGTAGTCCTCTTTTAATATTTTTATGTAATTCCTAATTGGAATATTGTTTAAGTAGCCCTTGTTCCAGATGCACATCAATATAAGTGTGGTAAGTTTTCATTTTAGGCCACAAATTAAAGTTGACATTTAATGTAATTGTCTTTATCATTGTCTATTACTATCTCAGATTCCTAGTCTTTTACATGGTGAAAACTTGGTATTGAATAATTGGGGGAGGTTTTCCTCTTTTGGCTTTTGCCTGGGGTTGCCTTTAAATTTCATAGGATTTTGATCCTAAAAGTGTGGGGACGAAATTAAGAGGAAATAATGAGAAAAAATCTATTCAGTGTGTGCAAGGGAGAGTGAACAGTAGGAAAAAGTAGAGAACGGGCATTATCTGTTCATGCAGGATACCGGCTATATCTGTATTCTCCTCACTCTATCTACAAAATCAGGTCCATCAGCTTGTTTTGCCACGTCCAAGCTGCTCTTGGCCACAGAAGAAAACATTTGTGTTTTTTCCACAACATATGGAAAGCTTTCAGGGCTATCTCTGGCCTGACTGCCTACACAGAGGGAACTGAAACAAGTCTTTTCTGCCTCTTCCTCCTCTCTCTCCCCTTCATCTTCCTCCGCCTTTACCAGCTTATTATGAAAAAAATTTCTGGGGTCTTGCAACTTTTGGATCCCTAAACCTTTTTAGAAGTTTTTATCATTTTTCTTATGAATTCCAATGCTGAACCCTGGATAAAACATAAAATTAAGAATGAAAATTATGATATTGATCCTCAGTTCTGTCTAAAACAAATACAAACAAACAAACTGATAAAAGAAAACAAAATCCTTGATCAGTGTGACAAAGGGCAAAGATTCTATTTGGATTTAGATTTCTTTCATGATAGCGTCTGCCCCGTAAAACCAAACACACAGACTGTGTTAATGTCAGGGTTTTAACATGCGTCACTACTGAAAAACAACCTGTGCAATATAGAATAATAAATGTAAGATATACAAGTCAGAAATGTTCTTAAGTTAGTAATTACTCTAAATCTTTTCTGGGACATGTCAGTGTATAAATACACACAATTCGAGATTCAATGAATAATCTTATAGAAGGTATTTTTATTTTGTAATTATAACCTGTCTGTAGTAGAATTAATCTTTCTTTGTTTCAGCCCAGTCTTTTAATATTACTCTCCATCTTTACAATATGTCTACTTAGAGAATCTCCATGCATGCATCCTTAGCAATTTATTTCCTTGGATGTGTACTCCTTCCAATACTGTCCGTAAAATGCCAGGCAATATTTGCAGAGTTGCTAACAAATGACTTGGCATTTTCTATTGTGACACTCCTTCATTTGATTGTTGGTTTTTTTTTTTTTTTTTTTTTGATTCCATTCTTTCTAGTGCTTTGGTGGTGAGAACTTTGTTGTGTTCTCTTCGGAGATGTGACTCACTCAATGATTAGGAACTGATCTGAAAATATATTCTTTCTTAGGTGGAAGTGTGAGCACCAAAATCACTAAATTTCAACTCAAAGCAGAGAGCAAGTATTTCTAATTAACACTTTACTCTCAGTGAAGTGTAGACCATTAGTTATAAGGTTACATATACATATATGTGTGTGTAGGTAGGTAGACAGATTGATAGATTTTTTTAAACATTGGCTGTCCGTTTTTAAAATCAGTTTTCATTTTTCCCTGTGTCCTTAATCATATGTTCCTTTTATTACGTCTATAAAAATAATTTGTTGCTGAATAAGTTGACAGGTAACACAGCTTATTTGATCATCTCCTTGAAGATCACAATTCACAGTTATGTATCAAAAGCTCCAAGAAAGTCTGTAGTAAATAAATAGATTTAAACTTTGCATTCTGGTGTTTTCAAGATACTGCAGTTAAATTTGCTTTGTTGTTTATAATCCTTACATAGTCCTCCAATATATGTGTCTTTGATGATGGAGGAATACAGCACACACACATACATACACACACACACAATTTATCTTTATCATTTCAATTAGTGAACTTTTAAAAATTATATTGTTAGATGACAAAGTGGTAACACTATAGTAAACCACAAAAAATTTAATTATGATGGTAAATGCCATTTTATTATGGAGATTTAAATCCATTCAAAATAAAATGTATATAATATATTTTCACAAATGGAAAACAAAACATGGCAGAAGGATTTGCCAAGAAGTTACTTCTAGTTATTGGTAGCAAAAAAATAAATCACCTGGAGTGTGAAATATGCTATTGCTTCAAAGAAAAACATTGGGCTCATTAATTTGGTATCAATTAGTATTTCAATATTTGATTGGTAGAATAATAGGTCTGTGGGAGGTGTGTGAGGAAGAAACATATTGAAGAAAAAGAAATTCTTAAATCTGTTTTTTCATTCAAGAGTCTACTTACAAGTCATGTTAAAGTATTTACATTAAGACAACTATTAAATATTCTTCCCTGTTAGTAATTTATTGTCTGTCTCCTGCCACAAGAATGTAAGCTCCATTAGGGCAAACTTTTTTTTTCTTTCAACTTTTATTTTATGTTCGGAGGATACATATTCAGGTTTGTTACCTAGGTACACTGCATGTCGCTGAGGTTTGAGATACAAAAGATTCTGTCACACAGGTACTAAGCATAGTACACGATAGTTTTTCAGTTCTTGCCCTCCTCTTTTCCTCCCAACTCTGGTAGTACCTGGTTTCTCTTACTGTCATCTTTATGTCCATAAATATTGAATGTTTAGCTCCAGCTTCTAAGTGAGAATATGAAGTACTTTGTTTTCTGTCCCTGCATTAATTTGCCTAGGATAATGGCCTCCAGCTCCATTCATGTTGCTGAAAAGGACATGATCTTGTTCTTTTTCATGGCTTTATAGTATTCCATGGTGTATATGTACCATGTTTTCTTTATCCAACTTACTATAAGTGGGCATCTAGGTTGATTCCAGGTCTTTCCTATGGTGGACAGTGCTGTGATGAACCTGAGAGTACATGACTTTATGGCAGAATGATTTTTATTCTTTTGGATATACACCCAGTAATGGGATTCCTGGCTTAAATGGTAGTTCTCTTTTTAGTTCTTTGAGAAATCTCCAAACTGCTTTCCATAGTGGCTGAACTAATTTACGTTCTCACAACAGTGTATAAGCATTCCTTATTTGCAGGCTCACAAGCATTTGTTGTTTTTTGACTTTTTAATAACAGCCATTCTGACTGGTGTGAGAGGCATCTCATTGTGGTTTTGATTTGCATTGCTCTGATAATTAGTGATATGGAACATTTTTTCTTATATTTGTTGATCACTTATATGACTTCTTTTGTCTTTTGCCCATTTTTTAATGGGATTATTTGGGTTTTGTCAGTTTAATTATGTTACTTATAGGTTCTGGATATTAGAACTATATTGGATGTGGAGTTTGTGAATATTTTCTTCCATTCTGTAGGTCATCTATTTACTCTATTGATTGTTTCTTTTGCTGTGCAGAAGAAGCTCTTTGTTTTAATTAGGCCTTACTTGTCAATTGTAGTTTTTGTTGCAGTTGCTCTTGGGACTGAGCCAAAAATTGTTTTCCAAGGCTGATGTTCAGAATGGCATTTCCTAAGATTTTCTTCTAGGATATGTATAGTTTTAGGTCTTACACTTAAATATTTAATCTATCTTGACTTAATTTTTGTATATGGTGAAAGGCGGGGTTCCAGTTTTATTCTTCTGCATATAGTTTCCAGCTATCCCAGTATCTTTTATTCAATAGGAAGTCCTTTCCCTATTGCTTATTTTTTTTTTTTTTTTTTGGAGATCAGTTTGCTGTGGGTGCCAGGCTTTATTTCTGGGTTGTCTATGCTGTTCTATTGGTCTGTATGCCTTTTTTTCTTTTGCCAGTACCAGGCTGCTCTAGGTACTGAAGCTTTACAGTATTCTTTGAAATTCGGCAATGTGATGCCTCCAGCTGTATTCTTTTTGCTAAGGGTCACTTTGGATATTCAGGTTCTTTTTTGCTTTCACATGAATTTAGGAATAATTTTTCTAGTTCTTTGAAAAATGAAATTGGTAGTTTGATAGGAATATCATTGAATCTGTAGATTGCTTTAGGCAGTATGGCCATTTTAATGATATTGATTCTTCCAATCCATGAACATAGAATGTTTTTTCCATTTGTTTGTGTCACCTATTATTTCTTTTAGCAGTGTTTTATAGTACTCGTCGTAGAGATCTTTCACCTTGGATAGATATATCCCTAGATATTTCTTGTGGCTATTGTAAATTGGATTGCTTTCTCAATTTGCCTCTAAGCTTGAGTGTCATTGATGTATAGAAATGCTGCTGATTTTTGTACATTGATTTTGTATCCTGAAACATTACTGAAGTTGTTTATCAGTTCCAGGAGACTTTTGTTGGAATCTTCATGTGGGTAAACTATTTTCCTTTATTTTATTCATTGGTGTAACCCCAGAGCCTACCTCATTCCTTGTAGAAAATTGGTTTGGAATAAATACTTCTTGAACCAATGAATTATTATTATAAATTAACAATGACCTTTTTTTACAGTCTCTAAAGCTTATGACCTCTCTGTAATAACTCTTTCTATTCTTTCTTTCACAAGTTTAATCTGTTGTTGACTTCGAGTTATACTCAGTGAACTACAAACTTAAGGCAGTCCTTCAGAATGTACCTTCTGAAATCCCCTGCATGAGATCACCAGAAAGGTTTTAAAATGCCTGCTACTGAGTCCTACTACATACATGCAAAATCAGACTTTTTGGTGCTTAGGCATATGAATCTGCAAAAAGTACTCTTAAGTGATTCTTAGGCAAATACCAATTTGAGAATTTTCACCACATGGTGACTCAATAGGTCTTGGAGGAATTCCACTCAAGTACCTCTCTCCTATTCCTTCCTGTGGACTGGGTTTATTTATACTCAACACAGGCTTTTAGAAGAATGAAAGGATAGTATTGAGTTACTACGTTACATTCAGCAAATATTGATTGAATTATTAATTGTGAATCTGAAATTAAACTCCCGTGAAACGTTCATTGAAGTTCTGCTTTTAACCAAAATATACTTGCAAGATTAGTTATCAAAGTAATGTTTTTGTGATAATTTCAGTACAATGAGGCATATGCAAAAAATTATTCATATCACTGTCAAACTGCACACACTCTTTATTGCTTCACATGTATGCTTAAATTCAAAGTGCTTAGGTATATTTTTACTGATGGTCGTTCTTTGAATGTGTCTAGCAACAATTAATTCTGGTACAAAAGTAAGTAATACCTGTAAACTGGAGATATAACTGCATTTATGTCCCTTTCTATATTTCTATAGTTTTGATTTTCTTTGCATAAACTTATTATTACTATTATTTTTTCTTGAGACAAAGTTTCACTTCTTGTTGCCCAGGTTGGAGTGCAATGGCACCATCTTGGCTCACTGCAACCTCTGCCTCCCAGGTTCAAGCAATTCTCCTGACTCCGCCTCCCAAGTAACAGGGATTACAAGCACTGCCTCCATGCCCGGCTAATTTTTTTTGTATTTTTATTAGAGACGGGGTTTCACCATGTTGGCCAGGCTGATCTTGAACTCCTGACCTCAAGTAATCCACCTGCCTCGGCCTCCCAAAGTGCTGAAATTACAGGCGTGAGCCACAGTGCCTGGCTCATTGCATAAACATTTATATATGCTATGGACAGTAGAGACCAGAAAACAGCTTTACACTACTCTGACTATATCCCACGGAAGGACATTACTTGAAGTACATGTTTCTGTCATCTAACGCTGGCATTGTCACTTTCAGCACTATTGACATTTGGGGCCAGATAAATCTTTGTTGTAGGGGATGTACGGGACTGTCTTGCGTATCACAATATGTTTAGCAATATTCCAGACCTCTATTAACTAGATGACAGTAGCGTCCCTCAAGTTGTGACAATCAAAAATGTCTTCAGATACTGCCAAATATTTCCTGGAAGACAAAATCATCACCATTGAGAACCCACTGATCTAAGGGATCTGAATGGGACTATGTTGTTTCCTTGAGTTATGTTACAAGCAGTGACATGAACTTATGACATCTTATACTCATAAACTTGGTTAGTTGAGCCCAAATTAATTGTGTGTGATGTTTCAACAATTTGGTTAAATATTAATTTACTTTATTTTACTTATTATGAAAAATGAGATCTGAAACATATCTTCACATGTCACAAATTTAACTGGAGAGGTAGTTGTTATCTAATGAACGCATTTTGCATTGTTAGCCAAATCAGGTAACGCTGTAAGAACTAGAGTTATTCATCATCATTATAAACATTAAAGTGATCTGAATTACACTACCCACACATTATTTCATCTGATTATATAATAACTGGCAAAGGCAGTGCAGGCAATGACTGTGAGCCAGCAGACCCTGGAAAATTGGCATACTAACTGTGTGATCAAGTTGGCCTCAGTACCAGAGGTTTACAGATTAATGGTAGGTACGGATTTATATTGTCATGAGGCAGGAGCCATCGTTAAATAGAATTTCAGCGCAAGTTATACAGGTCACAAGTTCCTAGGTTGCAGCTATCATACCAAAATTGAAGCTATGATTGTCCATATAAATACCTCCAAAGGCTATGTGCAGGATGATTATGGCAGTATATTCCAGCAGCTGCCAAATAGTAAACTCGAGTGTGAAATCACTGTATTTCAAAATATCTTTATGAAATGAGGCTTAGCATAGAAATGCTAAGAAAGACAAACCATCCAAATCTTTTTATTTTGCAAACTGACTGATTCGTCTCTGACCATAAACAAAATTCAGACTGTGAAATTAAGTATCACAGGAACAAAAACAATATTGACAAAGCAAGAATCATTACTAATCATAGGCTAGTCTCTTTATGCATATGATACAAAAAAGATCTATAAAGCTACAGCTTAAAATTAGAGCCAAAGGATTAATCACAAAATATTAATCCATATAATTTTTGATTTGCAACCTAACTTTGGCTGAAACCTTTAAAATGCTACTTTCATTAAGGATTAATATTGACAGAAGTTTATAGCTTTACTGAAAAGTGAACGTCAGAAAGTCAAAATGACATAACTTAATAGTATAATCAAACATCTATGTAGAATTTTCTGTGTGTCTGGCCCTGTTTTAGAATACAGAACATTTGTTCAAAACTTCTTGGGATAATTTTCTGGAGTTATTAGCATTGACTATTACAATGAATGTTAAGAGTAGGAGGAAGATTTAAGTATAGATTTAGAAATTAAGATACACATTTTTATTCTCTCTCCATTTAAAGATATAATTTGTTTTAATTTTCTGAACTGAATTTCTTCGTATGTAAAACTGATTTTTGGAAGAAGTAAAGAGCATGATTCATGTAAAGACTCTACTCCAAAGTCTGATGTACCATATACACAGACTTTATCTAATTGCTTCCCTTCCTTCATTTCAGATAAAATATACAGCCTTTGTAAGCCCTGCTACATTTCTTTTATTATTATTATTATTATTATTATACTTTAAGTTTTAGGGTACATGTGCACAACGTGCAGGTTAGTTACATATGTATACATGTGCCATGTTGTTGTGTTGCACCCATTAACTCGTCATTTAACATTAGGTATATCTCCTAATGCTATCCCTCCCCCTTTCCCCCATCCCACAACAGGCCCTGGTGTGTGATGTTCCCCTTCCTGTGTCCATGTGTTCTCATGGTTCAATTCCCACCTATCAGTGAGAACATGTGGTGTTTGGTTTTTTGTCCTTGTGATAGTTTGCTGAGAATGATGGTTTCCAGCTTCATCCATGTCCCTACAAAGGACATGAACTCATCATTTTTTATGGCTGCATGGTATTCCATGGTGTATATGTGCCACATTTTCTTAATCCAGTCTATCATTGTTGGACATTTGGGTTGGTTCCAAGTCTTTGCTATTGTGAATAGTGCCGCAATAAACATATGTGTGCAAGTGTCTTTATAGCAGCATGATTTATAATCCTTTGGGTATATACCCAGTAATGGGATGGCTGGGTCAAATGGTATTTCCAGTTCTAGATCCCTGAGGAATCGCCACACTGACTACCACAGTAGCTGAACTAATTCACAGTCCCACCAACAGTGTAAAAGTGTTCCTATTTCTCCACATCTTCTCCAGCACCTGTTGTTTCCTGACGTTTTAATGATCACCATTCTAACTGGTGTGAGATGGTATCTCATTGTGGTTTTGATTTGCATTTCTCTGATGGCCAGTGATGATGAGCATTTTTTCATGTGTCTTTTGGGTGCGTAAATGTCTTCTTTTGAGAAGTGTCTGTTCATATCCTTTGCCCACTTTTTGATGGGGTTGTTTGTTTTTTTCTTGTAAATTTGTTGGAGTTCATTGTAGATTCTGGATATTAGCCCTTTGTCAGATGACTAGATTGCAAAACTTTTCTCCCTTTCTGTAGGTGGCCTGTTCACTCTGATGGTAGTTTCTTTTGCTGTGCAGAAGCTCTTTAGTTTAATTAGATCCCATTTGTCAATTTTGGCTTTTGTTGCCATTGCTTTTGGTGTTTTAGACATGAAGTCCTTGCCCATGCCTATGTCCTGAATGGTATTGCCTAGGTTTTCTTCTAGGATTTTTATGGTTTTAGGTCTAACATTTAAGTTTTTAATCCATCTTGAATTAATTTTTGTATAAGAAATGTAAGGAAGGGATCCAGTTTCAGCTTTTTACATATGGCTAGCCAGTTTTCCCAGCACCATGTATTAAATAGGGAATCCTTTCCCCATTTCTTGTTTTTGTCAGGTTTGTCAAAGATCAGATGGTTGTAGATATGCGGCATTATTTCTGAGGGCTCAGTTCTGTTCCATTGGTCTGTATCTCTGTTTTGGTACCAGTACCATGCTGTTTTGGTTACTATAGCCTTGTAGTATAGTTTGAAGTCAGGTAGCGTGATGCCTCCAGCTTTGTTCTTTTGACTTAGGATTGACTTGGCAATGTCGGCTCTTTTTTGGTTCCATATGAACTTGAAAGTAGTTTTTTTCCAATTCTGCGAAGAAAGTCATTTGTAGCTTGATGGGGATGGCATTGAGTCTATAAATTACCTTGGGCAGTATGGCCATTTTCATGATATTGATTCTTCCTACCCATGAGCATGGAATGTTCTTCCATTTGTTCGCATCCTCTTTTATTTCGTTGAGCAGTGGTTTGTAGTTCTCCTTGAAGAGGTCTTTCATGTCCCTTGTAAGTTGGATTCCTAGGTATTTTATTCTCTTTGAAGCAATTGTGAATGGGAGTTCACTCATGATTTGGCTCTCTGTTTGTCTGTTATTGGTGTATAAGAATGCTTGTGATTTTTGCACATTGATTTTGTATCCTGAGACTTTGCTGAAGTTGCCTATCAGCTTAAGGAGATTTTGAAGCCCTGCTACATTTCAATGACCTAAAAACTGTTGTGGCAAGGCCTTGATGACAGGCATAAGTGCTTAGTACTATACAGACACAGATTAGACATTTAATAGCTGTGACCATTGAACAAATTAATGTATTTTGGAAACAAAGGGAAAATATATCAACCAGAAGTGCTCACAGATTTAACTCATGTAATAAATACAGTAGATTATTGAGCACAAACTATATACCGGACATATTCTAGGTTTTTAAAAAGGGTATGTTATTTGAAATCCAAATATTCCAATGTAGAGATTTTTATGATTCTCTTTTTGCAAATGAGAAATTAAGACAAAAACTTATCTAATATATATAATATATTGATACCTGAGATTTAAACCTCAGTGGAAGAATTTATACAGTCTTCTAGTATAGTGAACTTTCTCCCTATTCAACTTTTTAAATAAATACAATTTCTTTAGTGTTGGTAAAATAACATTGCAAGTATATTGAGTATTAACTGTAGCTCCATAAATAATAATCCACAAATAGAGGCCATTCTTTATTCACTGTCACTACATTTAGATAGTTTATAGTAGACAAGACATCCTGAGAAGAGTTGTTTGAGCTTTTTTGTTATATAATAAGGAAAATATTAATTTCTATTCTGCTTTAGGGAATTTTGGGGTGAGAGCACATTGGGATCATTAGTTGCTTCTCAGTGAAGGCATAGACACTTCAATAGGTTCTCAATAGGCATCAAATCACTATTTTGCATTTTTGTGATAACATAATTGAATAGACATGTTGGCATTGTCTTGGTATAATATAGTAATTAGGTGGTAAAGCTAGAACCAGTGATATCTCCTGTGTTCCAAAAATCAATTAACTTACTTCAGCACTGCCTGCATGACAAGCCTATTGCACTTAACAGAGATCACTTTAGAACAAGGTTCTTCCTTTAATGTTGGAATCATTTAGTCATTACTTGACATTATAAATTCATTGAGTGTTGATTAATGTCTAATGCCCAATGTAATACCAGGAAATACATGAAGGATATTAAATCTTAAAAATGCTTTGGTGTAATAAATTGTTAATTCACTGATAAATTTAAAATATCATTGGGAAAGCCTCTTGGTATGTTTGACAGTAGTGTCCACTCTAATGAAATCAGCTGTAGCAATATTAAAAATCTAAGGAAATGCAAGATATTTGCTTTTGTATTTTAAATTCATGCTGAATTTTTTTTCCACTTAAATTCTGATGTACTTGTTTAAGATAGATTTTGTTCCACAGGGATTCACATTTTTCTTGTAGTTGAAACAGTCATCTATGGAAGGCGATGTTTCCATAGATGACTGATTATACTTGTTATAGTGGCAAGTACTATCATGTGGTCAGTTATCTTTGGTTATTATCATATCCCAGATACTAAATAGTGAACGATATCATTTACAAGTCACTTATTCTCTCTGGGGTCCAAGTTTTGTATTCTGTAGAACAATTAATTTCCCTTACATCTCTTAAATGTCTAATTTTCTAATGTGCACAGTGTGGTCTGAAGAAACAGAATTTGAGGCACTAAAATTTGTTCATATGGTTATTTTGAGTGTTATAGATTTCCCCAGGGTAAAACAATTAGACTTGGGAAAAGAAACTATTGATAGCTACTTTCTAAAATTAACATTTTATTAATATCAGAAATAATGATAACTTTGCCGATGCCACAATATCCATGAATCAGATACATCTCTCTAGGGACAGAGTTATAGATTGCCATTCACCTTTGTGTTGTTCTTCAAAGCTCTGCATATTGGAAACAAAAGTCATCTAAGCAATTCAAAGAAAACAGGTTATTTATATGTTTTATTTTGCTGTCTCATCTTCCTCCCCATCTGAATGATATAAATGTTTATAAATAATTTACTATAAGAGAAGAGATGTGATCTTTACTCTGTCTGGTTAATTAAGAAAATGATCTAACATAAGATAATGCCTCCAGGTATACATGTGTGTGGAAAGTGTGTGTTGAGGGAGACAAGATAAATACATTTAAGTAAAGTTGTTTTAAATGTCTAGAAGAAATGGAGGTATCAACAAACTAGCCAGTCAGTTATAGAAATAGTATCTTCCATATCTTTTTTTTTAATGTGTAACCCAATACTCAATTTACCTAGTAATTTATACAATAAATGTAGATGGCAACATTTCAAGTAAAATATTTCTAGATTTAAAAAATGAATTTGGCTTTCTCACCTACGTAAGTATCTCTTTGGAAATTGCTGATTTCTAGGGCTATAACTATAACAATTGTCAAGCAGAGAGAATCAATGCCTTCTTTATTTTATGTGGACGTACAAATATGTAGCCTAATAATCCAATATGAAAACACAGTAGGAATGGTAACATTTTTAAATTTTTTTCATGTATGGTAGTAACATGTGTTTTCCATACAACGCCTAAGTGGTGGTTGGAAAGCTTCCTTTATCCATGGCTATATGGAGAAGCTTTTGTGTCCTGTCGTGAGGAAAACAGTGAGAGAGATAAATATGATAGATAAAGGTTTAATATGGAATTATTTTAGAAAAGCAAATCATAACTTTTTAGATCCAAGTGACTGAAAACTTCTATATGTAACTTTGATTTACATTTCTTTCTCTTTCAAATTGCATCTTTATCAGGACCCTCAATTCTCATTTTATTCAAATAGTCTTCCTTGACTTCTGAGACCCATCATTCTCTTGATTCTCCCTCCTGATTTTCTTTATCTCTCTTCACTTCTTACTTTTGTTACCTTGCACTTATTCTTCCACTGATAACTTCATATTGCCTTTTGTTTAGGGGCCATTCATGAATCTCTCATCTTTTCGTATACACCCTTTTTATGCGGATTAGATCATTTTCCCAGACCTTAACTATAGCTTATTTGTCGAGGCCAGGTATCCTTGAGTTCTGCTCCTCAACTGTCAGTTACTTAATGAGTTGTTTAAACAAACAAACACACAAACAAAAAACACACAAAAAAACCCCAAAATCACATCTCCAAATTAATTTTAAAAGCATTATTCCAGAAATTATTTTGAATAATCATATTTCATCAACCAGTAACATTTATCTTATATATAACTAAATTCCAAACCCAAATGGCTTAGGAAAAAAAAAAAAGAAAAAAACATCTAATGTCTCATATAAATTAGTGGCAGAAATTTACACTTCAATTAGGAGTGTATAAACATCCCCCTAGACCTATCATCTCACAAACGCTTGATATTAAAACTTTTAAATTACTTTTTTCATTTGGTGAGCATAAAATATTAACCCATTGTGGCTTAAAGTTTAATTCGCTAGTTACTAATCAATTAAATTGTCCTTTCTCAGGATTTTGATTCTTTATATTTTTTGTTCTGTGAAAAGCCAGTTAAAGTTTTTACTGAATTGATATTTCTTTATATAGTCTATGCTCTAATTCATTGGAGACATTGTGTTGCAAATAATTTCTCCTGATTACAATGAAGTTGAATATATTTTAATATTCATCTTTTCTTTATGGTTTGTACATTTTGTGTCTTCTTCATTAATATTCTTATTATGATGCTATAGCAAGTTCTCTTAAATCTCTTTTTTTTTTTTGGCTTTCACATTTAAGTAGAGTTCTGTTTATGGGTTCCCTTATATATATTTCATTAATTCGTGATATGGTTTGGCTGTGTCCCCACTCAAATCTCACCTTGAATTGTAATAATCCCCACGATTCAAGGGCAAGGCTAGCTGTAGATAATTGAATCATGGCATTAGTTTCCCCCATACTGTTCTCATAACAGTGGATAAGTAGTGAATAAGTCTCACGAGATTTGTTGGTTTTATAAATTGGAGTTCCCCTGCACCAGCTCTTTGCCTGCTGCCGTGTAAGAATGACTTCGCCCCTTATTCACCTCCCACCATGATGTGAGGCCTCCTCAGCCATATGAAACTGTGAATCCATTAAATCTCTTTCCTTATAAATTACCCAGTCTCAGATATGTCTTTATTAGCAGCATGGGAACAGACTAATAGCATTCATTTGGCCATATTTACGTCAACAACGTATAGCCATAATTTCCATATTTTTGTAATAAATTTGTATACCTTGTTCTTTTTTAAGAGTGTTTGACTCTTAAGAGTTTATTTTGTTGCTTGTACTTCTATGTGCATTTTAAGATTAACTTGATACATTTCACCTAAGATTTTTTTATTTAATTTTACTAACTACATTGGTCAATTTGAGTTAGTTATTTTTAGATAATTGACTCTTCCCACCCCTGAATATGATCATTCTATTTCTTTATTTAGATTGTATGCACTCTGATAGCATTATCCCTCGTTGCTGTATAATTTTTATTATACATATAATGGGTATTTTTATATTGTTTTCACACTCGTTCCTCGTGTGCATATATGCAGTTGATTGTATGTGTTTACTTTGCACCCAGCAACTTTTATAAAACTCATTAACTATAATAGTTTATCTATGGATCCTTCCCTGTTGTCTATATGAAAATGTATTAACACAAATATACGTTTATATATATATATATATATATATATATTTGGTAGAACATATGCATAGGCTCTATGCATTAATATATACATACACATGCTCATCATATATTGTGAAACAATGTTTAAATAGCAACCTGTTATAAATCCAAAATAATATTTATAATTTGGCTTTTTTCATTTAAAAGATTGCAGTAACACACAGTGGCATTCTAAGTTTCAAATAATGGTTACCAATGGTAATATTAAATTAATGCTATATTAGATCATACAAAGAAAGAATTATGGTGGACTGGGGTGGTTGAACGTTACTTAATGGAGGAACTTATGTTGTAGAGGAGAGATGAACAGGTATGGATGGATAAAGTATTCTAGGGAAGAAGAAACATAAAGACTTAGTTTAAAAAAATTATACTTGCACTGAATAACATGAATATTCAGTGATGTATTGCTTTCACGAAATAGGGTGAATTCTGTGAACTTAAATATTAAGTACTGCCGAAATACATCATGGAAACTCAGTTGAGAATTATTTGTTATGAGAAAAGTAGTCATTTTGTTTTTCTCCAATTTGGAAAATTAAATCATGAGGAAATAGATTTTGCATCAGTAAAATGTATCTTTACATTAATTGAAGCTATTGCTTTGGCTAATTTTATTTTCTGCTACTTACAAAGGCAGTGATAAAAGTAGTAATATGAACTATATTTGTCCCAGATTCCTTATTACTGAAGTTGAATTGTTGATACCTTGAATGTTCCTATTTTAGTAATTTTAGTTTCATGATAACAAAAATATCTCAGTCAGAGTATGATTTATTTCAATATATACATGGAAGTGTTTAAATCAACAGATTTTAATAATAATGTATGCTATCATTTAATTAACTTATTGTGGTCATTGAATATTATTGACATCATAAATTTTTCTCATGTTACCCCAATATTAACAAAGAGTAAAATGTGCTTAATAAAAGGTGAACCCTGAAAATAATTAAAAAGCAGGAGGTTGAGTTCCAATATTTCTGTAGGGGGAAAATTAAGCATTTATTTTGGCCAAAGAATCTTTTTCCTTTGACTAGTATACTATTTTGAACAAGCCGATGTTTTCTTAATGAGGTTTAGCAATGTTAAATTATGTGGAAAAACTAAGATACTTATCCAACAAGAACAAAATAGAAAGGGGTAAGGCCAATATTTGTCAAGAAACTATTTCTATTATATATATATTATACTTAGCAACATGTATAGGGTGAGTCACCTGTGCATTACTTGAATAGAATAGAACATCAAACATTTGTTTGGTGAAAACTGCAGTTAATATTAATGCCAGAAAAGAGTTAATGATTTGGGGATGATTATTTTTAAAATATATCCAGAAAATGAAACAGTTGATGAATAGTAATTAAGCATATAGTTATTTAACTATATGTAACGAATAGTATTTAACATATAGTTACTATTTTGGGTGAACAACAATAAAAGTTGAAGGGGATAAATTATTGTGGGTATTTGGAATAAATATATTTTATGACATACAAAGTGAAGAAAGCTTTTACCAACGTAAATTCTGTTTAAAGATTTTAGAATGCCTAATAATATTACACTAATATAATTAATAAATTAATTAAATAAATACTTTAGAGTCACATATATGAGATACAAATCTAAGATTGCTATCATTTTACCATATGAATTTAAAAACTGCAAATAGATATTCAGGAGATTAACGGACCACAAAAAAATTTACATCTATTTGTTAGTTAATGAAAAATAAAGAGCTAGTTTCTAATTTGAAAGCTTCATAGTAAGTATGAATTAAAAGAATTGTGCATTTTTTACAAAATAAAAATATGGTCATTATAATTTTGTAATATTTATTTATATATTTTATATATACACACATACATGCATAAACACACACACGCACACACACACACACGCACACGCACACACATGCACACGCACACACACACCCCACATTGGGTGCTCTTTCGTTTCTCCACTCTGATAAAGCTTTATACTTGATATAGTTCAGCAACAGTTCTTTTTAAAGATAAGGAATTTAATAGTGACACCCTGAAATTGTGATTGTTTAAATCTATAAAGAATTTGGGAGCAAAATCAAAAATGATCAGTAGGCTAGAAATATTTCTATCATTAAATGACAGATAGTATTTTCTTGTTTTACAATTTCTATGAAGAACATTTACAATTAGAAAACATATTCAATATATTCTGAGTTTTTGTTACAAATCAAAAATAGAAAATAAAATGAAGTGAAAAACTATTTTATCTGGTGTTTTACCCATTTTAGAGGTTGAGGACACATTTTCTATAGCTTTGATTTGTTTATTATATATCTGGACATCTAGACCCTTTATAGTGTATACAAATGTCAAGCATTTAGATTTTTATAAATAGAGACTTTCTCTGGTCTTACTGTACAATTTCTTAGAGAAATGAGTGTTCCTTTGAATTGAAAGAGCCCTGCAGCTGTGTTTGATAGAACTGCCAAAAGCCATCTATAAAACTATTAAGAGTGAAGAACTATTACAGTTGAATTCAGCATTTTATATATATGTTTTGTTTGACCACAAATAGCAACTGGATTGTAAAGCCTTTTAGTTATTTATAATGCATTTATTTCATAAGGCTTGGTGGTGATATTAATAAAGGATATTATCAAAATAGAATGCTAGATAAAATACTATAAATATATAGATATATTTATTACCAATGGAAAATGATTACATAATTTATCAAAAATATATTTATGCCAAAGTTTTCCTGTAAGCAAGGGACTCTTTTCAGTGGCTTCTATTAAACTTAGGGTACAGCATATAAAATAAAATTACAAGAACTACATAGATAATATAAACAGAACAAATTAATGAAACTGAATTCACAAACTATACAAAAAATTATTACGCAATACCTTCTATGTGTTTCTGTGGTTTTATAACATCTACCCTACAATCACACATGAACTCTCCTTCAAAATGTTTAGAACATATTAAAAAAAGGACAAGTAAATGTTTGCACATATTCCAAGATAGATGCACACCTTAAAAATAAGGTAATGACATTATGATGGTGCTAAGGAGGATACTAATAAAAATAATACTGATTAAGCTCTTTGCCCAAATCATTCAGATGCCAAATGACAGAGCCAGATTCAGATTCGGGTCTGCATTTTTCTCAGGGTCTGTTACATGTGTTAGAGAAGGTGCACATGGTTCAGAAGAAAGGTAAGAACAGAACAAAATCTGGGAGAATTCAACAAATTTATTTCCATTCTCTATTAGATTTAGGAATAAAAACTCTATTGTTTGCAGAGCATCTTCACAAATATTTACTCTGGAAAAGGTGCCATGTGAATAAAACCAGGAAGGAAGGGTAGGTCAAATTCCATTTCACATGTGAGGAAGTGAACTGTCACAAGCTAAGAGCATTGCTCAACGTTGCACAACCTCACTGTAGACTGGTGGAGATGAAGACATGTCTACAAACTGTTTTTATTGCTCTTTTTACTAGTTTGTCAAACTATCCATCTTTACTAGTTTGTCAAACTATCCATACCTATCTTAAAAGGAGCTATAATTTCATGATGAGAACACTTCATAGTGATTGTTGCAGCCAATTTAAAGAACATTGTGGATATTCATTGATTTTTTTAATGAAAAAAAGGTGTAATTTTTTATTCATTTATTTTTAATATTGAAATGGTTACGCTTTGGATTCTATCTTAGCAAGTTCAGATTTCAGGAAAGTAGTTGAATAAATATACTCATTTCTGAAGCCAAGGCAAGTTTCATGAAGACTGTCTTCTAATGTGTATGTCTTCATATTATAGTATACATACACAAGCATCCTGTAAAGCATAGCTTTAAGAGAAATGTAAGAAAGTGGAGAATTTGGGAAAAATATAAACAAAAGTATGAGAGGATCACAATCATACTTTTCTGTATTGTTCTAATGTTTACAAAGTAATTATCAAGTATGTCACCTAATTTTTTATCATTAAGCCTCTGAAAGAAGTATCATTCCTATTTTACGCTTAAGAGACAAGAGGTTGACTCACCAAAGGTCCCACAGGGATAGAAGGGAAATTTAGTGAGATGAAATTCCTTGTTCTTCATGCTATATCACAATGCCTTTCTCCCCCTGAACACCTAAAACTGAAATTCTCGCGGAGTTTTGAAACCACATCCATGTGAATGCAATCTCAAATGTCCCGTGTTTATGAGACTTCTCAAACAAAAGAGTGTATTCTTTTTTTAACTCCTATTTTTGGTTTGGGGGTACATGTGCAGGTTTGTTATATAGGTAAACTCATATCACGGGGGTTTGTTGTACAGATTATTTCATCACCCAAATATTAAGCCTAGTACCCATTAGTTATTTTTCCTGATCCTCACCCTCCTCCCACCTTCAAGTGGGCCCCAGTGTTTGCTGCTCCCTTCTCTGTGACCATGTGTTCTCATCATTTAGCTCCCACTTAAAAGTGAGAACATGCTATATTTGGTTTTCTGTCCCTGCACAAACAAAACAATATATTCTTAAGAGTTTATTATTGGACCTAGTCTTACTTATTGTACCTATGATAACATATCATAAATCACTTATTTATTTTTTGATTTACACGTGTCTTTTTTACATACTCCATTTACACAAGTTAAAAAATTACAAAATAAAAAATCATTCCCTCTCCAAGTATGCAGAGATAATAATTAAAATTCAGCTTCAGAGATTTTAACCACATGTAATAAACTCATTCATTATAATGGTAATAATATTTCAAATATGTCAAATTATACGTTGTATCTAGGTTTTTTCTTATTTATGCATTTTTGCTAGTTGGGGTTACAAAAATAAAAAAGAAAATTATTAGGGGTTGAATGTAAATTTCACTGTCTATTTAGTCAGTAGGTAAAAAGTTGTGATTAGGAAAATAGGACAGACACTAAGATATAAAATTATTTTATAATTACAAAAAACATTCTGTCAAGCGTATTTCAGATTTTAAAATTACTCATATCCAAAAGGATACTGATTTGTGTTTTTTTATTAAAGTTTCTATCTTTAGGAATTAAAAATTTATAGCTAGAGAGTAATAGGCCAATAAGAAAAATTTAAGGCAAAGTATAGTATTATTTTCGAGTTATGATATAACACTTTGTTTTTAAAGATAAGTTAATGTAATATATAATATGAATGAATAACATACACACATAATACATGCAAATAGTATTGTATATATGTATGCATAAGGTATCATGTTTGCCAGTGCATTTGCTATGCACAAATTATGTATCCATTTATTTTCTGAATTTAAACAAATACGATCACATATTCTTGCTTTTTTTGTATACTCCCCCTCTTTTCCATGTAAATAATCTAGTATTTTTCCTCTGCGCCCTTACTTCTAAAATCCTATACCCATATATGTTAGTATGTTTACACATAAGTATTAATATTAATATATTCACATGCCATGTTTTGTAATGTCACCATTTTTTTGCTTAAAAAGTGAGATCATACTAAATACAATTTACTTGTGTCTTCATTACTCAATGACATTTATCTGCAGTGGTGAGCAAGTATAGCTCCAATTCACTCCTTTAAATTGTTATATGCTAATATATGGCAAAGAAAACTCACAGGTTTTTCAACTGATAGGCATGGTCTTTGTTTTGACATGTTTTCTTCCTGAACTACAGTAATTTTATTTGGATGGGATATATTCTGAGGACAAGAACTGTTGAGTCTTGGTTTAAAGGAATGTGTGTGTGTGTTAGTGTGTGTTTTATGTGCCTGTGGAAATTGAAAGGAGGTTTACAAAATTGCTTTTGAAAATAATTTCACATTTCTAGGAGTATTGAATAAGAGTACCTTTTGCTCTGCACTTCTGAAAACAGTCCATGTTATAATTTTGTTTATTTCTTCCAGACTCATGTGGTATAAAAACAATATCTCGTTATTTGAAATTTTATTTTCTAGGCTAATAGAAAAATTTAGCACCATTTCATATATTTTGGTCACTCTGTAAACTGTCTATTCATAACCTTTTATCATTTTTTCACTTTTTTAATTTTCCTTGTCAATTTGTAAGTCCTTTCTGTATTATATAAATATTAATCTTCATCTGTTACCTGAAGCGAAAATATTGTCCCTATATATTGTTTTCTTATAGAATTCATTGTTCATAATTTTTATCATGCAAAAGTTTTAAATCTGTATGTAGTCTAATGTGGCTATCTTTTTGTAACATCTGGGATTCCTATTATTGCAAACATAGATTCATATTTCTTAACTCTATTAATTTATTGTTTACATGTAAGCATTTCATTCATTTGGGGATGTATGTAAACTGCCTTAAATATATATATTTTAAGATTTTGTATTTTAATTCTTCTGTGTAATTGTTTTTTGATGCTCAATCAAATGTGGATAGTGCTCTTTACACATGTACAATGCCTCCCTCATTAAAGATTTAGAACTTTCTTTAAGAAAAAATGGAATTTTAAAAATATTTTTGTTCACAGGTGCCTACTGCTAAAATATAGAAAGGGTAAAGTCAATATTATGATAATTTTTAAACACAAAATATCTCTTGGAAGTTTACAATCATCAAAAGGAGATTCTTTTATCTCTTCCTTTAAATGTCACTAAATATAACTATACTTTGTTTCAAAATTTGGTCCAAATCATTATTTCTGAAAACAAGAAAACTACACACAACTAAAAATTAGCATCAAAATTCTTACTTCATATTCACAATCCTCTTGTTTTTAGAGAGGCAGTGTGTAGAAAAAATATGGTATTATTGGATGGTTATCAAGGTTTTATTCACATATTCCCAATTACTAGCTATGTGTCCTTGACTAATTTAAGCCAATTTGATTGTCTGTAAAATGAAGATAAAGCTGATCTCATGGTATTATGTTAGTATCAGTGGGACTTGTGAGGGCACTTAGGAATCCTACAAATGCTATGTATGTATAACATCACTGATGGGAAATTCCAAACTCTTCGGAAGCAAGATGTGGGCATTTGTTTACTCTTAGTTGAATGGTATTGCATAGCTACTTGGAGCTACTTGTGATGAATCAGTATTTATAGATAAACTTAAAGAGATTATAGAATGATCCCCTTTTTCAATTGTCAAAACTTCTATTTATCTAAAAATCTACCATGCCATTATATTCAACCAGTAAAAAAAATGCAGTCCTAAAATACATGCATATTATAAAAGATCTGTAATATTTAATAGCTAACCAGTAATGTAAAACTAATGAACACATACAATGTCACATACCATAAGTCCCATGAATATTGGTTAAAATAATAAGTAATAAGAAAATTGAATCGTAGAGTTAATTGTGACATGTAATTGAGATTTTAAAATTAAAATGTGTAATTCTTCTTAGACAATATCTTCATAAGGGCAACAAAATAGAAATACCTACTCAATAGCCCCTGTTTATTGGGTTTAATGTAGTAAAACATTGATTGTTTAAAATGTTTGCTTTTGAAGCTATTGTATCTCCTATATACATAAGAGCAGGTTTATTCTGAATGTGTTTTGTTTATCTATATTTAACTGAAAACTGTCAGTAACCTCCAAAATAACACAATAGAAAATAAAACAATTTAACACTATTATCTTTGGGCTAAAATAAATGCTAATGCCAAAATGCTGAATCCATTTCATGTAAACAGGGGCGTTGACACTTGAAGTGATATTCCCTTGGGGTTGAGCAGTGAGGCTCAGATGCATACACATTTGTCAGTTTTGTGGTGTAATTTTCATAACTAACATCATCATAATTACCCTCTTTGAAGATAGGTAAGGTGATAGGTGTATTTGAATTTGATATCATTCTCTTATACATCTAGAGTGACTTACACAAAGCATGTACTTTTATTACGACACATTTGTGGCATAACTTTCAGTACAATCTGATTGACATGGGGTCTAAATCCCTGTAAATTCTCATACTGTAGAGCCTTCCTAAGCCAAATCATGAGAAAGCAAAGCTGATGTTCAGCACCCCTCGGGCATTCCATCTACCAAAGGAGTCTCTAAGGATATTCCTTAGCCTAAAATCTCCTAATTGAGCTTCTGAAATTAAGGTTTATTTCTAATGTGAACCATATGCTTAAACCATACTGGTGATCATGTAGTCCCTGAGATTCATGACATTTCCTCCTCTCAATATTTCCTTTAAGCAGGGATTAAACTGTGACATTTGAAAGCCATGGCCTTTGGAGATAGAGTACTGAGATATGACTTTCACCTCTAACAGTTTTTAACTCTGTGGCCCTAGGAAAGAGGCTTAAGCTGCAAGCCTATTTTCCCTTTTTAAAAACAGACCTTACTCAGAGAGAATTCATGATGAATGAATAAAACAATCTATTTGACACCCTTAAAACAGTACTTGAAATTAACTTTGGAAATACTTTGTTTTTATTATTTTGATAATGGAATTTCATGATGATAATTATTATGATAGTAATCATAATGATAGCTACTATTATTGATTGAGCATCTTCTACGGGAACTTCTTCCCATTATTTATTCTCTAAGTTTCACTTATTAATCAGGAGGACAGCTTTTATTTTGTCTACTCTATAATACCTCTTTCAAAATGTTGGCATAATTAACCTCCTTGTCTTCTGAGCCAAAAAACATGTATTGCTTATCATAGACTTCTTTGTTTCTTTTTTTTTTTCTCTCTCTTTTTTTTGCTTCATTATATTTTACATACACATATGGATGAATACCAAGTGAAGTTTATTTATATTAATGTTTAAAATTATGTTATGTAAAAACTTGTTTTATTCTGCTTTGTTTTTAAGGGCCCCTCTTAATTAAAAACGTTAAATTGAATTCTTTTATTTAAAATATTTATGCATTTCTTCATATTTATGAGTTAGATAAAGGTAATGGTAATGGCTTACAATTTATTCTTTCTCCTGCAACACCTAGCACAGAGCTACTTTACTGTTGATTCTTAAGAACACTTCTTAAGGTGAAAGATAATAAGAAAGGATGAAGGCTGGATGGGTTTGAATATTATAACTCTCTTTTCTTTCCCTATGTCAAAATGAATTTTATTGGATGCCATGCTTTCCATTACATAGAATACATCAGCCATATGATCCCTAAGTGTAAAGAATTAAGTCAGCAAAAAGTCCTATTGTCTTAAGAAGTCCTCTGAAAACCAATAATTTGGTTTTCTGAAATTTGGGAGGTAATTTTGAGCACAGGCAGATATATCAGATGGTTTTTATGTGTCTTCTACGCTCCTTTTCATGTAAGGTGTTTCCTGTGTGATGCCAACAGTAATCAGCACAATTGCTGACACTACCCTGATCTTAGTTCCTTACTTTTATCCCGGAGAAAAAACTATCCTTTTGAAAAGTTCCATTATGTTCAGTGATCAATGATTGTGCATGTCAATTGAGCTTTATCGTCTTCAAATCTTATGAATATCAAAAACAAAGTTTTAAGAATCTGACACTAATATGCCTAAAATTGTACAAAAGTCTATTACATGTGAAAAACCTCAATATCTTATGAAAAATTGGTTTTATTTAATGATTTTTCAAGGAAATTTATTCTGATTATGAGACACATACATTATAGTATGAACATCTAAGAAAATTTGTATAAAGATAAAGTTGGTTCAAAATTCTTGCTTTGGGGGAAAAAGGGAGAAAGGAAAAATTATTTTATTTGATTTTTATTTCTTGAGGCAGGTTCTTGCCCTGTCACCCAGATGGGAGGGCAGTGGTGTGATCATGGCTCACTGCAGCCTTGACCTCTGGGGTTCAAGTGGTTCTCCCACTTCAGCCCCACAAGTAGCTGGGACAACACAACAGGTGTGTGCCACCATGCCCAGCTATTAATTTTTTTTTTTGTAGAGACAGGTTCTTACCATATTACCCTGATTAAAGATTATTTCATTTTACTTATCTTCTGAAAAGTCAAATTAGCTAAATACTACTCTAGTTGTTACCCGAAGCAAAATCCTGTGCATATTTGAGGTTAATAGTCTCTTAACTCAGTTAATCAATAAGTATTTATCATTTACTTTATATGCTGTTTACAGTTCTGGCTGTATTTTTCTGGTACATTTACATAGACCCTTGCGATTGAGAATGCAGGCATTATAAAGAAAAAATATCAGTTACACACTTCAATAAAAATACAGATATTCTATAATTTTCAGTTACAAAATAGCATAACTCATGCTCACAGGATACCTATTTCTACAACTATGAACAATGAAGAGCAATGATTATTTTAAATTTTATACAAGAAGATATTATTTAATATTATTTAATAATATTATTTAATTATTCTTGATTGTACCTTTCTTAGAATTTATAGGCTAAATTACTTACACAAAATTTGTTTGGATATTGTTACCCCTTTTTTGCACTTAATTATAATTTTATTTTGTTGAAATTAATTAAATGTAATTTTAGGATAAAAACATCTATCATATATAAACCTACAAACATAGATTTTATGGGAGGCATTGAGTTAAAGTCTTACCATCCTCGGATTGTGAGATGCTATATTTGGGGATCTATAATATGAATTCACTGGGTACCTGGAGCAGGGGAAATGCTACATATAAAAGCAGAGGTAAAGGAAGACACACTTGGCTTACTCCACAGTGATGCAACATGAAGATGATAGATTTTATTCAATCATGCAACATAGTTTGAGAAAACCTTCCTTTAGAATTTGTTCAATCGTTTGGAATTTTCAAGCAATGTATGCCTAAAGTTAGATCTGTTAAAAATCCTCTCTCATCATTAATTTTACAAAGTTCATAAACTTGATCATAAACTAAGAAGTTATTTTTGTGTGTATTAGTATAAGATATTGTCCAAGAACAATTTCTGCAGTAAACTAAAATTTACCATTTTTCCAAGAAAATGCATATTAATTTATCTTCATTTTTTTATGTTAAACTTCAACATGACAGGATAGGTAATATTGCTACTTGAAAAGTTTGTTATCAGCTAATTTTATGTTTTTATAATTCTTTGAATGTACTGAAGATCCTTAGATACTTTTATTGCAAAGATTGTTAATGTTAGCTACAAAAAACAAGCACAATCTCCCTGTTAAATGTATTTAAGAGTTTAAGTGAATTAAAGTAAACAATTAAAACTTAGGTGTGCTCCATGTATTATTAGAATGATACACTAACTTTGCTCTTTCCAAAAGAATTAAAAAAAAATAGTAACTTGAAAAGGACCTAGAAGAGTAAGGCATATAGAGAAAAATTTGGAATGAGAATAATATTGCAGAAAAAATGTTTTTTTCTTCATGTAGCACTATAAAAACAGGAAATAGTCACACATATTGTAGAATTGTGTGCAAATACTTTTACTGAATCATTTATTTTAATAGGTATTTAGTAAGAAAGAGTATAGATTTATCATTGTTATCATTGCTTTTGCCACTGGCAAAAGGGTGATAATATTGCAAGTTAGTTTGGAACTGTGGCCCTATTATTTGGTGCTCTAATTAATTGGTTTAGTGCATAATGAAGCTGAAAGACAATAAAACAGGGAAAGACAACATATTTGAAAATTGGCATGATTGAAGCTCTAGGCAAAATGATTAGAGGTGTTGTAGCTTGCATAACAAAGGTAGAAATATTTGATGTCTTGCTGAGGGTTTTCCCTTTCTAATGTTGAAAATAAATTGCTGCTTGATTTTTAAGTTGTAATTTTCAGTAATTTATGTGAAATTCTTATCCAGCCCCTTCCCACCCAACTCATATTTATATTTATATATTTTATCTTAGAAAACAAATCATCCATTACAACAGTATTACTTATTGCTTACTGCTCCCCACCGATCACCATAATCCATTTTACTATTTATTGAATGAAATAGGCTTTAAAATAATAAAATCTCATTCACTCGGTAAGTAGCTGTGTCTATTATATACTATATTAAGCTCTAAGTTTGGCATAAGGTATAGAATGATAAATAGAAGGTTAACATTGAATTACTGAATTTGAATTTCAATGATAGAAACAGATACATAAACAGATTGTGACAATATAGCATAATTTATTCTATGATACAAATGTACAAGATATAGGAAGAACAGAGGATAAGTGATTAAGTTTGTCAGAGGAAGATGGAAGCAGGGGAAGTATAAAAATAAGTTCAGAAAGGAAATGGTGTTTGATCTGTTTCTGGATAAATCAATAATATAGCCCACTGTATTCATGAATTCAATTGACCAACAATTGACGATATTTGAACAAAATAAATAAATAAATAAGTACATAATATCAATACAACATTTTAAAAATGCATTATAACATCTGTTTACTTAGCATATACATTGTATTAGATATTATCACTAATCTAGAGATGATTTCAAGTATAGAGGACAGGCCAGTTACAGTGGCTTACACAGGTAATCCCAGTGCTTTGGAAAGCATAGGTGGGAGGATCGCTTGAGGCCAAGAATTCAAGACCAACCTAGAAAACTTGGTGGGACTCCATCTCTACAAAAGATTTTTTAAAAGTTATCCAGGCATGGTGGCATGCGCCTGTATTTCTAGCTACTTTGGAGGCTGAGGCTGGAGGATTGCTTGATCCTAGGAGTTTGAGGCTGTAGTGAGTAATCATTGCACCACGGCACTTCAGCCTGGGCAACAGAGCAAGATCTTGTCTTAAAAAATAATAATAAATGAATAAAGCATATGGGAGGAAGCACATTAAACTATGAAAACATTTTGCCAACATAGCATAATGTATTACTGTGACGTATATTGCATAATGGTTATAAGCAAAGCCTATGCCATTTTTTATAAGGGACTTGAGCATCTGCAAATTTTAGTATGGGGGGAGGTGCCCTGAACAAATAATGAGGAACAAGTGTACTTTGCCAGAAAGGATGATGGGAGAAGCCATTTTCAGCAGAGACAGATAAGTATGCGCAACCTCAAATAACAAAAATAAGAGCTGCAGTGTTTTTATGGAATTGCAGTTAGTCCAAGTGCTCTGGCATCTTGGACTATGGACAGAAGGAAGATTTAAAAGTTTTGAATTTAATCCTAAGGAAAATTGAACTGCATTCTGTAAGTACTGGAGAATAAGAGAAGGCTTTAAAAAAAAAGGTTGGGAGTATGGATAAGACGTGAATTCTAAAACTTCTTAAATGGTAATAACATGGAGAAGAATGAAGATGAATGACACTGATACCACGAAGCCAGCTAGACAAGGATAGAAATAATACTCTGAAGACTTGACTGAGACCTTAATAAGTCATTGTCTATTGACAATAGAATTCCCAATGCTAGGGTTGTTCATAGAAAATGCAAACTTCCAACTAGTTCTAACAATGAAATAACCACGTGAGTTTGTTAGTTTTTTTAAGATGACAAAGGTAAATGGTGGAAATATTCTTAGAAATATGGAAAATGGAATGATGAAGAAAATATCTTTTTTTCAGTTGGTGTCTTTAATGTAAATTTCAATCTTTCTAACGCTTATATTTTTGGTATCTATGTTACAGTCTATGTGCAATTCAAAAATGTAACACTTATCTTTTTCTCTCATTATGAAAGTGAGAGAAAGAAATTTAATTAAACCCCTTCGTTCATGTGATAGTAGGAGCCTTGTTAGTTTAATTGATACTTGGTCAAGGCAATATTGATTTGATAAAAGCAAATCTATTTCTAACCCCAACAATTAAAACATTTAAATTGGCTCCATCTTCTTTTTGATGAAAGGGCATACAACCATTATAAGCTTCCCATAAAATCAATGAAAAACATTAATAAGTGAATAAGCATCCATTTCATTGAATTCCATTTGCTTCATATTCTAATGCACTAACACATTGCAGTGTATGGATTCATCTGTGAGTTCCAGATATTCATGGTATCCTTGTATTTCTCTTCTATCACTTATGCCAAACTTAGAGATCTCTCTTATTCCCTCCTTGTGCTCTCTCTCTCTTTCTCTATCAAGTAAACACACACACACACGCACACACACACACACACACACACACACACACACACACATTATACAAAGGATCAAGTCTTGTTTGGGTGCAAGTTGAACCAAGAGCATGGTGTCCACATGACAGAGGTATTTCTTATTTAGTTAAGGTATGTGGCAGTCCTCATTTTAAATCATCACTCTGCTGTTTGCTAGCTATTTGGTTTTAGGCAAGTTACTTAATCTTTCTGAGCTCCATTATCTCAACCAAGAGCTATTTTGAGATTAAAAAATATAAAACATATAATGTGTTTAAGACAGTTCAATAAACCCAGAATAAAAAGTAGCTATTAAAGAAAGGTGCCTAGAAGCCAATGGCTTGGACTGGAAAGTAGAACCAATGAGTTGGAGAATTTATAAAAACAAAGCCAGAAACAAGCATATCAACACTGGCCAAAATGATTTAACCATTTCCAAAGGTTAAATTCAGTTTAATGAGATTATTTTTAATAAAATTGAAAATTATGAGTAAATTAGTAAAGTAATAATTATAATATTAGATCATATATAAAATAAAATATAATGGAAAATTATAAAAGCATTATTGAAAAAATACTGCAAAAAGGTCATTATTAGTCCCTACATTGTTTATCATGAAAACAAGGACCCTGAAAGGTGTTTATTCATTGCGTTTTAGGTAAAGAAGTGAGAAGTCATAGTATCTTTAATGTGCAAGCCAAAATGTCTGGTATGGTAGTATACATAATCAGTGAGGAATAATTGGATCAACACACATCACATCAAATATATTTTTGAACAAATATGTGCTCAAATGTGTTTATTTGTCCTTACAAAAAATATGGATATGAAATAAAGGCTTAGAGTGTAGTTACATAATTCCTTTTAGAGCATTCGTCTAATGATTGTCTAATTCCTTTTAAAGGATGTGTTTAGAAAGGCCATGGTATTTAGATGTACCTACATTTAACCCAGGTAGAATTTAAAGAGAAAGCCCTGCTGTGAAAGGATAGTAATCTCCAATGACCCTAAAATCAGAGTAGAGTCTTCTTCCGCAAAATCAATCTCTTGATGTAAGCATTTGACCTGTTTTATGCTGAAGAGCTGGATCACAGCAATTACAGGCTTGTATTTCCTGGCAGAGAGACAAGCAAGGATAGATTTCCTCTGTTTTATGTTTGTGTTAATTTAACCTGTCAAAGTTAATCATCCTGTCGAAGTGCCAAAGCACCATGATGTTGGGTGTGGTAGAGCTGCCTGGTGCCTTAGTCTTATTTCCATCTCTGCTAGAGACTCGTTAAGTGCCCTTTGTTAAATCCTTTTCTGTCTCTCATTTTCTTTGTTTTTAAAATAGAAGGATTAATTATTATCTCCTGTGTTATATTTATGTTACATTTTATTACTTTAGGTAATAGTTTAATGATATATACATGACATATTTTTATTTGTTCCCTGATTTTTTTTTTTAAATCGTGGGGGAGATAAACAAACTAATAATATAAAGATTGTTTAAAAAATAATGTACTCAAAAGAGCTGACCTGTTTGTTTGTTGCTTGGCATTTAACACTGAACTGCATATAGAACATACCAGTTTTTATTCTAAACAGGTACGTGATTGTAAACAAGAAATGATCTTGTACTATGCGTGTGGCAAGGCAAGTATTTTTTAAACCTGTTTTGTCCTTACTCAGAGTCAATGTAAGGTCTTCCTTCATGTCCAGAGATATCTTATATTAACAAAAGTGTTGACCAAACTTCCACTGGACACATTTTTTCAATCTAGGAGTCTACACAACTTGAAATATAAATGTACTATAAGATAATTGAAAATATTTCAGATAAGTCATCTATAATATTATAAACTTACTTCTAGGGTAGGATTATTTTCATAAGCATTGTGTCTCTTAGAGGAAAACAATCCCACAAGAATTAGATATAAATTGCAGAATTTGATTTTCATAAGTGACTGTTTTATATTATAATTGATACTATGTTATTCAATTTGGTAGTTGTTATGCTTTTCTTCTGAAATAGCAAACACTCTACTTGGGAAAAAATGCAGAAGAAAAACGTAGACTTGGTAAACATTTACATGCTATGGACTAGCCTTACATAAAACTTGTTAGGATTGGTGTGTGTGCCCTTCTTAATCTCTTTATTTACTTACCAGTCGTGTACGTTTGTATCCTGTGCTCATTTTAACCCTACTCCACCAAGCCCTTAAAAACACTGTTCCATATTTTTGTGTTTTATTTCATTTTTAACTGACACATAGTAATTGTACATAGTTATGAGATAAAATGTTATGCTTTGAAATGTGTTTATTGAGTAATACATGTATTAAGTAATTTTCAAAACCACAATAGAGTGGATATTTAAAATAGTTTTTCATTAGGGTATGCATTTTTTATTTTTCCAAATTAATCTACACCATCTTCAGTCCTTCTAAATAAGCAAAACATCCCTGTCGTTATGCTATAATTCTAAAAATTCATGAATAATAATTTTTCCAGCACCTTCTTAACCTTCTTACCTCTCATCAGTGGAGACCTAACCCCAAAACCTTCGGGAACAGTATTTTTGGTCTATAACACTACTCCTTTCTTCCATCAGAATTGGGAATATAACTTTGAATATATTATGAATGAGTCTTTTTTCTCGAATGTTTCCTAAAATAGTCTACATATGACCTCTACCAGCTCTACTAAGGTTCATCTTCATTTTTGGAGCACAAAATGTTTTTCTATTAATAAAATTTTGTGAGTTAAAGTGAAATTAATAATAGGCATTTAGAACAGAAACTCTCTGCCAGCCTTCCTAATATTATACCGACATGCTGTCATTCATGTATTTGAGAAGAAATAATACTAATTCCAAATCCACTTTGAAACATGGTGCCAATACAGCCATGGTGGCTCTGTTCTGTCCTACATAATAATTACATCTGTGAAACAGGGACTCTGCATAGAATGCATGTTTGTATTCAACGTAATGGCATGATTTGGTAAAAGTTTCCTGTGTGTTATTTAGATGAAAATCAGGGTTGTTACCAACATACTCTCCTAGACTAAAAGCTCCATGAAGCAAAAGAATCATGTCTGTCTTCATACATTACACCTTCAGAGTGTAGAGCTGTGTTTGGAACATGATAAATATTTGCTAGATAAATGAATGAATGAGTGTACAAACTGGCATAATTTACCTAGTTTTATAGTCTCCATTTGTTGTGTAACAAAAATAATCTTATGTTGATATAAAATTAATTTGCACCTCAGGACATAAAAAAGTTAATTTAATCAGACTTATGAATTCTGAAGTGGGAGCAATTAAGTGTGATGTGTAACATTAATGGAAAATGCATTTTTTTATTTAACTACTTCTTTTGATGAAAAACACGCACGGTAATTAAAATAGTATATTTTAATGCATATTTTATTAATGCTCATCCTGGAAACTGTTAGTTCTACTTTTCAGTTGTTGTAAAACATCTGAAACTATTTTATTTATGGGATGGGGAAATACACTTTGACAAAATTTATTCATTTTTAGAATAAAATTATCAGTGCAATTTAGACTCAAATCATAATAACACTTGTATTATTTATTGCTACATAACAAATTACTCCAAAATTCATAGCCTAAAGCATCATATATTTACCATCTCACATTTTCTGTGGGTTAAGAGTCTGTGAAGGACTAAGTAGGGTATTTCTGGCAAGAGGTTTTCCATGCGGATGTGATCCAGGTGTTGGCTGGGGCTGTAGTGATCCAAAGGCTTAACTAGAGCTGCAGAATTCACTTCCAAGAGAACTCACAAAACTGTCAGCAGGTGGGCTCAGGTCCTTACTGACTATTGATAAAAGCCCTTAGTCGCTTGCCACATGGATGTTTCTTTAGCCTAGCTTGAGTGTCCTCAGTGCTTAGTAGCTGCCTTGCCCAGACTGACTGATCCAAGAAAAAAGATAGAAGCCTCAATGTGTTTTACGACCTACCTTCGGAAGTCACACTCAAGCATTTTCACGATGTTCAGCCTGTTAGAAGTTACTAAGAAATGCACCACAATCAAATGTAGGGGAATTAGTCTCCACTGGTAGGTGTTATATTTTAAAACTATCACAAAATGTATTACTATCTTTCAGTCAACCCTACAAGGTTTATACATAAAAACTTATTCAATTCTTACTGCAACTTTATGATATAAGGGTTTTAATTAGTCGATTTGTTCACAAGAAAACTGAGCACAGAGCACCTAAGTATCTTTCCCAATGTCACAAAACTAACTGGCTGCGTCACATTTTGTGCTCAAGCAGGTTGGTCCAAGAATGTATGCTTTTAAATATTGTCTTGTGCTGTACCTGTACTTGTGTTTTTATATTCAATGGAGATCTATTTGAGTAAGCAGTCTTTTTTTTTTTTAACTGCAAATCATAATTCACTGATTGGTCAACATAGAGTTTTGCTGTTAAGAGCTTATAGAAAGATAACAAATGCAAACTTTTTAATCTAAGAAAAAATAGTATTTTTACAAAATTATTTTAGCCACAGGGTCTTGCTGTGTTACTCATGCCAGCCTCAAACTCCTCGAACAATCCTCCCATCATAGTCCCCTGAGTGACTGAGACTACAAGTGCACACCACCATGCCCAGCAAAAATAATTATTTTTACTTAATTATATTTTACCTAAATTAAGTATAATTTTAATTATTTTCTTTTCTCACATTTAGATATATCCTGTTACATAACATGGGAACTATGGTGAAATGCACACAATTTAAAAATTAATCTGTACCATGATACTTACATTAAACAAAGTGTTAATTGTATTCAAATAAAACACAAACATACACCATTCCAGTGTGACCACAGGAAGAAACAGTTCTTTTGGTTTCCACATACACATTTAGTTTTCAATGTATTAAAATTCAAATTAATATTAGCAGAAGCATAAATATAAACTAGTTTATCTATACCAGTCCCTATATTGACTTTAAAAAACTTATAACATTTAAAGAAAATACTCCTTATAAAATTTTGTATTCAAATCGAATTAAGAACTTTACATTGAGAGAGTGAAGTATAAGTTACATTTCTAACAGAGACACTGAAAGCCTGTCTAAACAATTTTTAATTTATACAATACAAATAACAATGATTGTGTCATGGGGATGTCCTTGGCTTTACAGCTTAGAGTGTCACGGAAAGAAAAATGAGTAAGGAAAACCACTAATTAGATACGTAAATCCTAGAGTTATGAGGCGAGCGGTCTAAATGGGAAAAAGCCAAAAACAGAAGGGACATATGCACCAATTCTTGTTTGGAGCTCGGGAAGCCTATATTGCCCATGTGATTTTACTCTCTAATCTCATTCATGTACATTAACGTCAACAGAAAAGAGGAAACAAACTTAATTTTATTTAACATCTTCTAGACTATTCTCAACACAAAATGTCAGTTCACTTAAACAAAATGTTAAATGTCGTTCAATACTAGGTCCGCTTCTCTAGTGTATCCCAACGGGAGGAGTCAGCTTTATTTGTACAGAACCATTTTTCTTAGGAAATGAAAAGTACTGATTTATCCTTCTTCCTGGTGTTTGTCTCTCTCTTGCTTCTACTTTAGTGAAAGCCGATCGGAATGAGAAAAGAAATTTTGCCCTTTCCTAGCTAAGATGTCACACGTTCATGCTGTAAAAATATATTGTTCCCAAATCTCTGTATCTCGGCTGGTTTGAAAATATATTTTGATACCTTTTTTCTTGAAGAAATTTGGGATAATTGAGAAATTTCTGATTTGTTTTGTATATTATGTCATTCGTTGTAATTTATGGACATGATTGAATTTAATAACTAACATAAAGATCTTAATAAAAATTAGATTCCATAAAAATCTGATTATACTTATGATTTTTTTTTTGAATAGTCAAATCATCTTCAAAGCCTACAAGATATAAAAATATTTTCTGTTTTTTATCAGTTTTGTCATTGACTACTAAAAAAATACATTGCTTCTTAGGAACTTTTAGGGAAGAAAAAGATATTACCTTTCAGAACTGATCCTCTACACCTGTGTTGACCACTAGCCACAAGTAGCCTTTCACATTTACATTTAAACTAATTAAAATTAAATAAAATTAGAGATGTAGTTTCTTAGTAACACTAACCATACTTCAAGTGCTCAGTAGCCACACGTAGCTAGTGGCTAACATATTAGACTGTGCAGATATGTCAAACATTTCCATCATCACAGAATGTTCCATTTTGCAGTGCTATTTCATCAATTTATACCTGGGGCTTAATAGTTTAGGAGCAGTAAGCTTATTATATTTGCTTTGTGCTATTACTTTCTCTTGTTTAAGATCCCTAATTTGAATCTATGATATCGTGGTGACAGAAGCTAATCTCAAACAGGCTAAATTTTTTTGACTTGTCTGAAATATGTGTTAACATTCTAAAATATTTAATTACTCTTTTTGTTTTTAACAGAGCATTGTACCAGTGTTCAGAGATACTAAAAATCTGGCTTGCTTTAAAATTTTTTGAGAAGCTGTTTTTTAAGTACAACAAACCTCAGGCTGATATCATTCAGTACATTGTAAATGTGTACAATATAGTGTTTGATATATAATTAGTATCTTTTGTATTAATTCAAATGTTATGGAAATATAATTAACTGTGATTTACTTTTTATGCTTTCATAACAGTGAGGTAGCAATCCTCATCTTGAGATTAGTATATCAATAAAAACTACTATATATATATGAATACCTCTACTATATATATATATGAATGCTTCTTATAGTTTGTGTGTGTTTGTGTGTTCTAATTCCAGCTCTGACACTTCGTAGCTTTGAGACCTAAAAAAAGTTAATCTTTCTAAACCTCATTTTCCACATTAGTAAATGGAGAAAATACTGCCTCCCAGATGCTGTAAGAAAATGTCTTTCAAAAACTGATTACAATGCTGCCAGTGCTCAGTAAATGCTGTGTATAGTAATTAATATTATTAATTACCAGTAGTTGTAGTATCACAATAACTTAAAAATAAATTACAACACATCAAAATAGTATTGATAGTTTATAATTTGAAAGTACAAAATAATGCAAGTATCCAGGGTTTTATATATTTCTGTATTTAAGACATAACTTGGACATGAATATATATCTATAAATGTGTGTATATGCCATAGTTAATTATAAAATATTTACTTATATATAATGAATAAAAAAGTTTTTAAGACCCCTAGCCTCATGAAATGCTGCCTCCTCTATTGACTTCATTGACAAGCCAAGTTCATTGATATATAAAAAAAAACTCAATCAACAAACACATCTTTTTTCATCTTAGTGCTTGCTATCCTTTTTGTCCTTGTCTCCTTTCTTTAAATATATTTCCACTCCCTAAAGTAGTCTTTTCTGTGTGGTTAAAACACAGAAAAATGTAAGTAAAATTATGATTTTGCTTACCTTTTATACTATAATTAAATTATATATGTTCATATTTTATCTTTCTACCTATGCAGTGCTTAGAATAATGCTCTGCTGATAAAACATGCCTAATAAATGCTTTTTGAATGGATAAACCTACCAATGAAGTGATTATACTTGTTAGGTCTTTCTCCAACAAAACATCTCAAAACTCATTAACTTAAAATAATAACCATTTATTATTGTTAATGACTTCACAGGTCAGCGGGATTCCTCATGAATCTGTGAGCAGTTTTGTGAGTAGGGTGTATATATTTGCTCGTCTTGGCAGAGCTCTCTCACATGACTTGGGCTTTGACTGGGGAAACTAAGTGTATTCAACTGTGACCATATAGTCTGTCATCACTCAGCAGGTTAGAATGTGGTTGGATTTATGGCAAATGAGCAAGGAACTAAGATATAAAGTGCAAGTGTGCAAAGCCCCTTGAGGTTTAGTCTCAGACTGGCATGATATCATGCTGCATTACATTTGACCAAAAAAGTTACAAGGCCTATCCTTTTGATGGGAGATGCTGCAAAACCACATTGAAAGAACATGGATACAGAAAGAGAAATAATTGAAGCCATATTTGAACAAAAAAAAAATCTACCACAGGCAGATCTTCTCTATACTCTTCTCTGCCCCACTCTTTTCCTAGAAAGCCCAACTTATAAATTCCAGTGAGGGAATCCTTTGATCCCCTGGGGAGTTACAAAAAAACTGCTCTCACAAGTTCTTCAATATTCCCCTGATTTAACTTTTCTCAATTATCTCATTGGGTGTGCTGTCTCTTTGATTCTGAAACTCTGAGTGATACAGGTATAAGATGGATCTTGCTTCAAAGTTAAAACATTTGTCGCATTCAGTTGAAATGTCTTTACTTTAGAAATTAACATTTTGTCAAAAAGCAAAACATGCCCAGATTTTTAAATATTTATTTTGATTCCCCAAGTCATGAACGCAGAAAAACAGGTAACAAAACATATTTATGTTCTGAAATAATAAAACATTTAATAATTAAATAATCAATGAATACTTAAAACTACACCTCACTAATTTGAATTTCGAATAGCATCTGTATCTTTCCTGTAATTTTTTAAAATTTAATTTATTGAGTTCAGATCCCAGCTTCACTCTTGCTTTGTGATCACTGGGCAAACTACTTTTCTCATCTATAAAGTGGAAATAATAAAACAATTTACCTTATAAAGTTATGAGAAATATATTAAATATAAATTGTTAAGAAGAATGTCTTAGAAATTTTAACTGCTTAATAAATAATATCTATTAGTGTACCAATAGAAACAGGAATTGTAGTAGTGGTAAAAAAAGTACCTTCTGAAAATTTTTATTTGAGTGTATTTTTTTATACAAACTATATATATGTATACAAATATATACACACTTTTCACAAATATTATTTAAGGGCTACTATTTCTATCAAGTTTTATGTCATAATTTAGTCATTCTATCACTGTGAAATATTTTAAGTATTTCTAATTTTCTCCTATAAAGAAGTAGTTCTAAAATCAAGATATTTGCACATAATACTTTTATAATTAGGATTATTGCAAAAGAAGAGTCAAAAGGCTGCAATTATTAGGATATGTGATATAAACTTTAAAAAACAACTCTACTCATTTATTTCTATTACTTCCATTTGCCTGTTTAAACCGTTATTACTAAAGTAAGAAGGGCCTCATTTTCTAAAGCAACATACATATCATTTTGAAAATCTTTGCTAATCATATACATAGAAGAATATGCTTTGTGTTGTGCTAGGTGCTGAGGGAGTTGATTTGAATTAGAAGCAATACAGGTACCCAGGAGAAGTTTCATTTTTTAAAATTTTAAGCCAGACATTCTTCCATATATTTATTAACCAGTTGGTTTTTCTCTAGTCTGTCATCACTGTTTACATCATTAGCCTCTTTATGTACTGCTCCCCAGCAGTTGAATACTAATAATCTAGCTTCATATCATTTCTCAGTTTGATGTCTTTATATAGTCATTTCCTAGACTTCCATGTGACTCTACCCTTGGCAACTCATGCACTCACACCATTGAGACTCACTGAACCTGAAATGGCCCTTTTAGAAGCCTTGCTCTCTTTGTCATTACCAGACTGCTATGTAAAGACCAGTGACAGCTTGTTGTTTTATTTCTTGAATTGTGCTGACAACATTGTTTTTTTCTGGGACATTGTGTTTGTAGTTCATGGCAAGAAGAGACGTGTTTCTTTTTTTATCCTCTCATTTCAAATATGTACCATTTTTGCTATTTGCAGTACTGAACTATATTTATAACTCCTCTAGTCAAAGAGGAAATCCTGTTGTATAACTCAAAGAAAGTTTGGCTTCTTTGATTTGTATTTTAAATATAGGTTCCTGAAAAACAACATGTATTATAGTGACTTAGTGTATTTTAAAAAATGGAGCCATTTTAAGAACTACGATAGATAAAAAGCGAAAAGTTGACTAGTGTCTTCTACAGAAGTATTTGTAAAACCAAGACAGGGTTTACAAAATTCCCTGGATCACGACACAACAATGCAGAACTGGGTAAATCTAACATTGATTTACAAAGAGAGGAAGTTCTGATTATTGAGGTCAATTTTTCATAGACAGGTATAGACTGGAGCACGGGTTTCAAATACAAAATAATTCACGTAAGTTGTTTTTACACAAAGAAAGCAAAGCCTGTTTCCGACTCAGGAATCTAGTTGACTTCATTATTAACAAACTGATATTCAGGAGCCTTTTTTCCTCACACAGTGTCAGTGTTTCCTTTAGCAAAACGAGAATCTGTTGTAACATGGAAATGCTTGGAAGGTCTGGGGTGTACTTGAATATAATATTTATTATGTGCTTACTATGTGCTAACAGTGGGCTAGGCTTTCACTTGCTGTATTTTATTCACAAGAACCCTGTGAATAACTGGTAAGTTTAACAGATGTAGTCATGAGGATGGAGATGAGTAAATATCACTCTAAAATCATTGAATATAAAATTCAAGTTTGTCCTTTTTCAGAATTCAAGTTTTTTCTCACTGAAGCACATTTCCTAAAAAATAAGATAATTTAGAAAAATTTAATAGATTTTCATAAAAAACCATTTCAAAATTTTTTGTACTTGAGATTAAGTTTGGTATAAAATAATAGAGATGCTGATTATGATGATGATAGTGATTATGAGGATGATGATAAGGAGCTAAAATATTGAATGCCTGATCTTTCATAGGCACTTTAATATATGCTTTATGTATGTTTATTTTGGAAGAGTCATATCACAAAAGCATTGCTATCCGCACTTTACCAAGCTGAGGCAACAAGAGCTTATATACCTCATCCAAGGTCATCTAACTAGTAAATATCTCAGATGAAATTAAGAAGTAGGACATCTTCACTCATGACCATTAATTAGTATAATTTTATGTAGTAATCTGTATTAAATATACATTATTCAAATGTATCTGAAAAGCACATCCCACAGCACAAAGCACTTTCACTAGTTCTACAACATTCTTGGTAGTAGATCAATGAGTCCTGTCAATATAGTGGACCGTTCCATTGTGACCTGGATTCCATTCCTAAACTTGCCTCAGACCTTTCAAAGAAAAATCAGGGCCTTAGGTATAATGTCAAGTGAAAATATTGACATATTATAATGAAGAATCCAGGGGATTAAACACCACTATAAAAACATATACTTTGCGAAGTACTCTATCCTTGCCACTCTAACAGTCAACCATTTGGTGTTTTGTTATTTCAATATTTCCACTGAATACATTTCGGTTATATTTAATCTTTCTGTCAAACCTATTGGACTCACTGCCTCCTCCTTCGTATTCTTCAACTAGGTGTTTCTATTGTTACTGAACTCTGAAGTGGAAGCTACACCAAAATACATATGTGTCTCAACTAGTGAACCTCAGTTTGCTGGTTGGCTAAGACACTTTCTTTTCATTAGAAACTTAGGTTGCTAGAAATATTTCACTCTTATCCACCAGAGAAAAAACAGTTGAAACTTGCTATGCTGCACTGAATTCTAAGACAGACTAATCAATCTAATTCCATCTAAACCTATTTACCCTGTCCAGGAGATCTGCTAATGAGGAATGCCAGTAACTCCTAGTTCCTGACACTGCTTTCCAAAAGTGAGTTAATGAACCAGTTTAAAGGGACATGCTTGACATTTGCAAATTAGTTTAACTGGCTTGTTGGGGCAGCTTTGAACTGCATTGGACTGATATGGTTGTCATTAAACCATTCCATCATGTAGTATTTTTATACTTCAGTAAACTTTAAAAGATACCTTAATAATTGAATAAGTCCGTGTTATCTAGTATTTTTTACATTGCTTGATTATGATGCTGAAGTTCAGAATTTTAAAAATGCTTTTTCTTCAATCTCCACGATAATATTGTGCAATTTTGTGAGGATGCCAATCAAAAGTAACGCAGCTTTTGCACAAAAGTGTGTATTATCAGTAATTACAGGTGGCTCGGTGCTTTCACCTGAAAGCACAGAGGGTGGGTTTGGTGTTTTAAATGTCTGCGTCATGGGGAAAGAGGGGGAGACACAATCTGAGGTTTCTAGGCAACAAAGCATAATATATCTGTTCTTTACAATCGACTCAGAAAAAGAAAAAAAATCAGGATATTTTTAAAGGTAATATAGTTTTCTTTAATTATAAGAGAAATAGTTTAATTTGGAAATAGGGTATATTTACAAAGGAATTGATTCATCCATTTATGAAATGTATTTATATACCTACTTTATTTTAGGTTCTGAGCTGAACACTGACAATATAAATACAAAAGAAAAAATACTATATATTTTTTCTCATGGGGCTTAAATTGGGATGAAGAAGATGTACCCTCCAAAACAAAGGAATAAATGGAATTTTGCAAAATTTAACACATATGAAATAAATCAAAAGCAATTGATGAAAGCTATGAGAAATAAATGAGGGCTTTTTCTATCTAAATTAGAATGGTGTTTTAATATCATCAAAATCGTTTAGACAAAGGATCACAGGTGACATGATTTTGAGCCTACCTAAGGTGGAATGCCAAAACCAAACCTCAAATAAAGTTATGAAACTGAAAAAGGTACACATTCAATGAAAGGTTTGACTAGAAAAAAATTCAATTGCCAGCAAGAAAAACAATATGGAAACATATCTGTTTACCTGGGTTCTAGGTTAAAAAAAAAAATGAACAAACCAAAATCTCCACCCTGAAATTTTATAGCTATAGACCCAATCTCTGATGGCTTTGAGGATCTCTGTTTTATACAGTATACAGTATTATTTATGCTCTCTGGAGGAATGTATTCTCAATCCAAGCCCCAAAGACTTTTCATATATATGAACCAGTAATAAGCCAGTTGCAAGTACATAATCTAAAGTTAATAATAATCTTTTGAAAGTACCAGGACTTAATGGACTATTCATGAAGTCAGCAGAAATAACATATGAATGAATTATGTCACCAAGTTATTAATAATTATTAGTTAATAGTTAATAGTTAATTATATTGAATATATTTACAGTTATATATAACAACATCAAGGAATCAAGGAAATAAAAAGAGACTTGCAGATTAAAAAAAATCACATAAAATTTCTAGTAAATCACAAAAATTTAAAAATCAGTGCATGGATTGATCAATAGATTAACAACCAAGGATTACAATTACTAAACCTGAAGATAAATTTGAAGATATTAATCAGAATAAGCATAGATAACAAGAAAATGTCAAAGACAGGTTACTGAATAGAATTAAAAGATCTGATTAAGGATTCAGACAGGACAAAGAGAAAGCAAAGAGAGGGGAATAGAATGATCAGAGTTTTTATTTAATATGTTTGTGGCTAGAAATTATCCACAAAGATAAAAGGAATTTTCAGATTCAGAAAGCAGAAACCCCAAGCCAGAATAACAAAAAGAAATCCTCATATAAATACCATGAAACAAAACTGCCAGATCTAGAGTGAGGCAAGTGAGATATTCAAGGGCTCAAAATGTAAAAAGGCAATTTCTGTAACACTGATGTAAGTGCAAAATCAGCTAAGAGTGAGTGCTTCCTCACCTATGTCCAGAGCATCTTATCCATAGCTCAGGTGGTTCTCACTCACAGGTTTCTGCCTGACCCTGCTTGTGCAACACCTGGGAATAAGTGCATCCTTAAATATTTCTCCCTGGGTCCTGACTGACTCACCTGCTTTCATTTATGAAACTCACGGTCTTTATAACTTCTATGTCATCATTAGCTTTATTGCATCTTTACCAGTAGTTTCCCTCTTCTTTTGCTGGGTTGTTTACTTTATTTCAATATATAATCATATTTTATTAAGATATTGAATTTTCTTCTGAGTACAGTTTATATGTTTTGTTGACTAATATTTTTATTAGAACTATTTTGAAGTGTTTTATTATTAAAATGTTTTTACTTCACTTATTCATAAAATGTTTAGAGTGTTTCCAGGAAATGATTAAAGATTGAAGGATTTTCTTGCACTGGTCATTTAAAGTAGGACGTTGGAGCCTCTGGGCTTGGATTTCCAGTTTATAATCAGAATTTTCGGAAGTAGAAGCTTCTACTTTTATCAAGCTATAAGTAGTCTATCTGTGCTCCACCAAATGTTTTGTTTGTTTTTTTGTTTTGTTTTACTGTGTATGAAACTACACAAGAATGATTCTGAGAAAAACAGGTCCCCGTTGGTATTGTCTGCTCTGGTGTTTATAACCGGAAAATTTTATTCACGATCTGAAAAAAATGTGCATAAACTCAGTACAATTTTTCCTACAATAAGAGAGATTGTCTCGCCTTAAGTGTTGAAAACAAACAAGAACATAAACATCCACTAAGCAAGTTAATATGTGTATAATACAAATATGGACAATAAGCTATTATGACAGAGAAAAAGAAATAGATAATAGCATTGTGGGGCCATGCTGAGTACTACGGTAAGGTTCACTCAGAAGACAAGATGATATCTGAGTTGAGACGTAAAAATTCACAAGAACAACCAAAAAGGGAATAACATTTTTCCATGTATGATGAGGGAAATGTGAGCTGCTAGGTATGGATTGATATTCCAAGTAAAGGAAATCTTGAGCAAAAGAGTAGAGGTGAGAGAGCGTGCACTGGTTAGAGAGAAGTAAAGAAATGAAGATTATGGTAAAATTCAAGGATAATGGGAAATGCACATTCATATTATGTCTAACAATTTTTAAAGTGACATTCTTATCTGTTGAAAGCCAACATTAAATCCTCGAATAAATCTGGGGCGGTCTTTTGGAAAGCAAACACAGAAAAGTTACCACTGACTGTTGTGTGGCTAATGATTTCAGCTGCTAGTAAAGTAAACTCTAAGTAACAGTAACTTAAACAGGAAAGCGTTACTTTTCCCTCAACAAAGGAAACCCCTACTTAGATTCCTGCTGGTATTCCTTCAGCTCACAGTAATGTCAGACCTGGGAGTCAGCATCTGTGGAATTATCAGGGGCCTTTCCCCAATGGCCATTAGATGGCTATAGTCTTGGGCATGACATCCCCAATCAAATGGAAGAAAGGCTCATTTTTTTTTCCTAAAATGTAGGAGCTAAAATAAAGCCTCCTACAATTCAACAGACGTATCATATCTCATTTGCCAGAAAGATGTCATGTGGCTAATTCAAATTCAAGATATCCTGGGGAAAGAGGGCAAGAAGAGCATGTTGGAAATAGTCCATTGGTCCTTTGATTAGTCAACGTAAAATGTTTGCCAGAACCACCTTCTCTGAGTTCTCATGCTGTGACCACTACCTCTGGGAAGAATGACTCTTACTCTCTCAGTCCTTTCTTTAAAGTATTTACAAATGGTTTAATCAATTATTGTATCAATATATTACCTTTGAAAAGAAAAGAAAGGTTTACACTTCTGAAAAATTTTAGCTAAAAATTTAGCACTTTTTCGCTAAAAATTTTAGCTAAAAATCTATGGTACTCTTCGTCAGTGTTGTTTCTCTCTGTCTCACACACACATGCACATGTGCACACACACATGCACACACATGTGCTTTTGTTTTCCCCATCTACGTATCTAGTTTTTGTTAAGAGTTGTAGGAAAAAGATCTGAATAGTTTTAGAAAGAAAACAGAAAAAAAGAGAATCATTCAGTCCACTTTTATTTTGTCAAGCCTAAATTAAATGCCTCAAGGAATATATGACATAGTGATACTTGATGATAAAAATTCTATTTGGTGCATAGCATTGTATTACAAAGACCAGTTGTTTGCTAGTTTGTAACGAGCACTGTGCTAAGCAGGGAAACTATTACACACTTGGAATTGCTGTAGGAAACAAAATGTGATCATATAAAAAAAAGAGTAGCTTTGCTTTTTAGAAATGTCCAATTGCCATAGGAGAAAAATGAGTGAATTTAGATTCAACTGTATTGGAATGAAGGGAATAGGAAAGGATATTAAACTTTGGAAGTGATTACTAAGAAATCTTATAAAAGGGTTAACTGATACCATTGTCTAGAATGGTTTAAAGAAGCATGCCTCATACGAGCAGTACATTAACCTTGCAAGACTGCTTTGGACATATGTATTAAAAACATATGCATCTGATCTTCAAAGTAAACTTTAGCGTGGTAACAAGGTTGCTGAAGTCACATAACTAGTGTAAATCAATGTATCTATGTACTAGCAATTGACTCTATACACATTCCAAGATTTAAAGTGAATTATGGTTCTCTTATCAAATAATCTCCTAGGCTTTGTCAGTGGAGTGCTTAACACCAGGCTAGTCTCATACTAGAGGTGTAATTGTTTTTGGAATTTATTGGAAATTGAGTTCCTTTAAAATTCTAGAACAATAGTCTCTACAAACAAACATAATGGAATTTAAACACACACACGTACACACATGCACACAAATGCACACATGACATGTTATGGGATATATTTTAACAGTTTTAGAGTTCTGTCTTGAGAAATGTTTATTTTAAATTATATATCAAGAAATTATTCAACACTTTTTCTGTTATGCTAATTAAATCTATAGTACCAGGTCTGTGGCTCCAACGGTGACTTGTTTTCTTATTTACCTTGTAAATTTTCTTATTTACCTTACCTGTGACATATTTTCTTATTTACCTTGTTTACCAGTGGTCTATTTAGGACCTTAGGAACTCAGCTTTCCTTTGATAATTATTTCTTGGAAGAACTGTTTACCCCAGAGATGAGTGGTGTGTGTGTGTGTGTGTGTGTGTGTGTGTGTGTGTGTGTGTGTGTGTGTGTGTGTGTGTGGTGTGTGTATGATATTATGACTAAGGATATTGGCCTAGTAAGTTATAGTTAGTTGTTTAAATGCTAGTCTTCCCTAAAAGACTGAGCTGATGTCAGCTCTTCATAAAACATGGATAATGGCTACATTTCCAGCTACTTTTATTTTACTTTGAACCCATGCTGCTGGATAGTAGATAAATAGGTGGATAAAGATATAGATATCATATAGGAAAGAATGAGCATTTCTTGGAATTGAAGATGACCTTCTACTTGCCTTGCTTTTGGTTAATTGTTTTTCATAAATTCATCGTTAAAAATATATCGGACACTTTTTGCTTGGATTGCTATATATGAATTTCTGTTTATTTTATTTTTAAAATTTTTTATAAAATGTAAAATTTTTGTAGTTACTTTGGAAAATCTAGATAGTGATAATAAGGAAAATACAAATGTGAATGTGTGGTTTCCCCTGTCACCCCTAGCCTTCCAGGTAGGCACCTAGTGAGTTCTCAGATTTCTACTCTGGACTCAGATGTGGCAGATAAATGAGTTTATTTTCTTTAACTAACATAATTTGTTATTGCACGTCTACTGTACTAAGGGAAAGATCTATTGGAATTAAAACCTGCCAATTAATTTATTTTACTTCCTTTAGTGTTAAAAATCTCCATTTAGAAGCAATTTTATTGAGTAAATAATGATACTCCTAGGGTTTTTCTTTTTCTGACTCCACTCCTTCCATCAGCCACGGGTATCTGGATACAGCAGGAATCCTGTGAGATTTCATGAGGAGGGAACATTGATTCATATTTGAATGTGTGCCCTTGTTTTGATGTCTACTAAAGTAGGGTGCTGTTTTTTAAAATGGAAGATTCAGTAAAGAAGTCCTTGCTCATTAAACAAGATTTAAATAAGCAGAGGATACAAGGAGGAGAAGAACATTCAAGTTAAAGAAAAAAAAAAAAAGAAATGAAGATTCCTTTGTATTGTGCTCTAGTAGAGAACTAGAATGTAAACAATAGCAGTAGTCAGCAAGGATGATATGCCACAGAAGGAAGCTGTCGATACACAGAGGAGTTCATAGTAATGAAAAATGCATATGAAAAGCAGAGAAAGGCCAGGCACGGTGGCTCATGCCTGTAATCCCAGCACTTTGGGAGGCCAATGCAGGCAGATCACCTGAGTTCAGGACTTCGAGACCAGCCTGGCCAACATGGTGAAATCTCGTTTCTACTAAAAATACAAAAATTAGCCAGGTGTGGTGGTGGGCACCTGTAATCCGAGCTATTTGAGAGGCTGAGACAGGAGAATCCCTTGAACCCAGGAGGCAGAGGTTGTAGCGAGGTGAGATTGCGCCACTGCACTCCAGCCTGAGCGACAGAGCAAGACTCCATCTGGAGAAAAAAAAAAAAAAAAAAAGCAGAGAAAATTGGGTAACAGAGTCTTCATATTTTTCCATTTACTTTCAATATTATTTCTATTTCTTTCTGCTTTCTATTGTTACTATCTGAAAGAAGCAGATTTGGCAAAAATCTTCTGTTGTTATACAAAAAGATGGGAGAGGTACCCGCTCTGTTTCAGTTATCATCCCCTAAATATGTGTTACACACACAACTTTGTCCTGCACTCAACCTACTACTTGGCCCTATTATTCAGATTGCTGTTATCCCGTTTCCAACTCATCTAACATCCTGAGCTGCTAAGGAAGTAAAACCTACAGAAATAGAAATGCTGGGAGTGAGGTAAAACCTGCTTCAGCATGATTTTGAACTTGACAAACAGCTGTTCACATCAGAGTTGTCTTATATTCCAAGATGGATAAGGAGAACGTGAAGAACATATTAGTTATGGACTTAGTAGGAGACTTAATGTTAAAAATGGTATTTAAATAAGTCTAGTTATTTAAGAAATCATTTAAACTCATTAACACATAGGCCATCAATGATGTCTAAATCCTTAAAATTTTAGGTCAGTAGATATCAAATATAATAACAAAAGAAGCCTAATGTTTACAAACCTTTGCTACAAGAATACTTTCTTGTTTCCTGGAGCTAAATGGAATAATCCATAAAAATAAAAATTGTTTCACAGTACATCTGGATTTATAGATTCAAGCAAACAAAATAAGCCTTTTTAGCATAAAATACAAAAAGAAACTTTATAATGTAAGAAAAGGTTTAAACTAAATTCTCTGAAGTAAAAATATGTTACTACTCTTGAACAATTTAAAAATATACCACATTTTAAAAACTTGCAAATCCTAACTAAGCTATATTATTTTAACAGTTTTCTAAAACCTGTACTAAGGTTGTTATCCTCTGAATTTGGAATATGTCAAACATAACTCTTTCAACAATACCTTTAAAATTCTGAAGAAATTGTGTATGCATTGCCTGGAAAGTGAAGTTTTGGGGAAACATGATAACTGCCTTTCAATATTTAAAAGGCTGTCATGTGGAAAAGACAGCAAGGTGACAAGTGCTCTTTCATTGGAAACATTTAAAGCAGAAGCTATGTAAAAACTCAGAATACTGTAAGTAGAGCACTTAGGTGGTTGAACTTGTTGACATTCATATTTCATTTCATTTTATCCTTTCAATTAGGAAATACATTTTATTTAATGAAGCTGAAATAGTATTATTATGTGTTTTCCTGGACATTGACCAGAAGAGGTGAAGATGCCTCCTTGAGATTTTAAAAGCATGTTTTAGGAAGTTAGAAAAATTAATGTAGCTTTATCTGGAAAAAAATAGTGCCTTTCAGATTAATTTCTACTTATAAGACTGTCTCCTATTATTCAAACATCCTTCTCTCTCATTATTCACAAAGACCAACAGCTTACAGGCAGGGAAGTTAAGAAATTGCCATCCTTAAAGCTATTGCTTATCCAAATTATACTGTCCCAATAATCTTTTCCTACTACAAGTGGATTATATGAGAATATAGAGGATCAAAACATTATAATATGATTCAGTTTCTATGAATTACTATGAGGAATTTAGTAGTTGACACTCATCATAGTGAATAGATAATATTGTCGTGTGTTTCTCTGTTATGCATACGATTAGGAGCCAATGAAAATGTAACTCTACAATAGTATATAAGGACATTAATACTTTTTCAAAAAAAAGTATTCTAATATGACTAACTCATGTCTCTCTAACATCTAAAGTAAAATAATTATAAGTTAGAAGGAGGAGGAAAAGAAGGGGGAGGATGTGGAGGAATAAAGGAGAAGAGGAAAGAAGATAAATGAAAAAAGAAGGAAAAAGAGGAATAGGAGTAGGAGGATTGTTGTTCCAATTGCGACAATCAAATGCTCTTCTCGTTTAATTCCACATTCTCAAGGACCCTTATCCTCCTCTTCACTTTGGTATGTTCAGTGTTTTTGTCAGCACTGTGCTGCAGATGTCTATGCTTACATGGAAAAATGAACAAGAAAAAATCTGTTTTCTTTGTATTTTTCCTTGCTGACATCCATGCATAAGCAAAAATGTGTATAAGCAAATGAGCCAAATGATTATGGGTAATTAGCTTGTGGAATATATGAAAGCAAATTGTTTGCTATATATAAGCAGGGTTTTTTTTTTACAAGATTATATTATCATTAAAGCATATCTGGAGTTAGCCAATTAGGACACTCACTGAAATTTAGCCAATTAGAAGTCAACTCTGTGAGCATGTCTGCAAGAAGTTTTCTAGAATGTTCCAATGGTTCTCTGGTTTTGAAAATGATGTAATTTTATTGGGATGTTAGTCTACTGATATTAAAAGAATGTAGTAATTTAATCTCTTGTAAATGATCATCTTTAGATTATGCTCTCATCACAGTATTTGATATCATCTTGAGCTGTCCAATGATGTAATTGATCTTAGTGTTATTGTGTGTCAATTTCAAGATACATAATTTGCTTCAGTGTCATTTATCACACTTTTTAATCACCATGGATGATGACTACAGCTTTAATGTAGTTCTGTTTTTGATTAGTGTAATGTCATTTCTGAGTTTCATTCTCTACAAAGGAATAGAAGAATTGTGTCTCTATGCCTGTCAAGTCTCACACTTAACATGAAAACTAAATTCACTTCAAAGGCTCTATGAAAACAAATTTCATTACAGCACCCTTGCTTAAATAAAATGAACTATTATTTTGAAAAATTACTTATAATAAATATCCTTAAGTGGGTAATTTAAAAAGCTAATACATCTGGGTCAGTGTTTCACTAGTTTGTGAGTATACTCATCCTTATCTATAATCTCTGCAGTATAGAAGCATCTTTACTGGGACTTGGGACTTGGCTGTGTATTTGGTTCCTAGATCCTCACAGAGCTATCATAAAAGAGTAGCATGTGAACAATCAGATCTAGATTTCCTTCCCAGTTCCACTGTTTACTACAGTTTTTTCTTAAAGATTTATTTTCCGATTCTCAATTCCTTGTCTCTATAATATAGATAATAAACACTTAGAGTTAGTTTTTCAGAGTTACTATGATGTGATAATACATAAGAAAGCACCTAACATATTGTCTGGACTAATAAAGATTCATTATGCTATTATCTTCCTTCCTCTGCAACTGTACCAGATATTTCTTTGTCGTTACTTATGGTTCATTAATTTTTGTATCTTTATTTTTTATTGAAGCCATTTAAATAGTCACAAAACATATTAATTAGGAGGGACTAGGCATAGACTGTTTGGCTAGAAAATAAGTAGTCTCTTATATTTTAATATTCTCAGGTCATCTCAAATGGAAGATCACATTACTGGGAGATCAGAGTGTATACATTGCTATTAATAGTTACCTACTTAATATCCTTTCTCTCTCTTCACTGGCAAATTTTATTCACTTAGATGGGCACCAATACACTCAACTAAAATATGTGATTTTTCCTTTCTTATTGTCTCTGATGTTTGAAATATTCTTGTCACCTTTTATGTATTCAATCTACTCCAAATTATGACCATTCTACTTTGATCATCATCCCTGTAGAGCTTCTACCTCCTTTTCCAGAGCAGCTTTTAATCTTTCAGACCCATTTTTTATCTCCTGACATATGCTTCTCAAATGTTCAAGGACATTTCTCGACAAGTGTTGATCATTGTAAAATATTTATTTTTATATTTTACCTGGCTATGAATGATTTCATGGAACTAGACTTTGAAATGAATGTGTTTTCTCATCATTAAATTTGGTAACACTTAGCAAGACTATGAATGGGATAGCTCTTTTTCTACAGTCATCTTGGCTTAACATCTAATGTGTTTGCATATGCATGATTATAGTCTCCTCGTGAACTTACATTACTAAGTACTTTTAAAATACAAATGCTTCTCTAATAATCATATTGATAATATTCCTTTTTTTAAATTGTATAAAGACATTCTGCTACATCTGAAGTTATTAAAAATGAACTCTGAATATTTTTAATACCTCCAGAACACTGTCCTTCTTATTTAAAATTATAACCCCCCCAAAATAAAATAAACTTAGGACCCTTATATACTGAATGCTTATTGAGCGCTTGCCACTTTATTTAGTTCATGTAACCCTCACAAAATTGAAGAAGAAATTGGTGTTGTCCTTGTTTAAAAGTAGAAGATATGGAAGCTTGCATAGAGACATTTTGTAAATAGCAGAAATTGAATGCAAATACTTGTGCTTGTAATTTTAAAGGAGCTGATTATGATTATTCTGTTTGATTACTATTTATATTCATATATGACCAGAAAAAAAGCCACACACCTCCAGGAATTCTTAAAGGTCCCACAAAATTGAGTAAACACAAGTACTCACCAAAGTGATTTAAGGCTACTAGAAATTTTCTGTGGGCAGCCTCATCAGAGTTCTCTGCAGGTAACATAGACAGAGGTGGTGTTTCATTTTTCATTCTACATTTACTACAGAAAGAGGTATTTACATTATTCCTTTGTTAGAGCTGAAGATCAGGTAGGGAAGAAGTGCATTACTTTTCTAGCAACTGGCAATTTATTTTATGTAAGATATAATGAGACTACATTTCCAAAATGATTACCAAGTATATTCCCAATCAATGGAATTGAAAGGTACATCATCAGTAAGCTTTCAGAGTCCATCTTTTGTATACTACGAAGATTCTTGTTATATTTCATATTTAATTTCCATGTTTAACTGCTTCTTCCAGTAATCACTGATGAAATGTCGGTTTGGTGAAAGTTTCTAACTTTTGCTGGTTTCATTAAAGTTATGCTTTAACTTACTTTGATAATTATATATCATGTTTATATGACACTATTGTTATAGCATAACTGTACTGTACTTGATATTCTATCTAATATACTCTATGATGTGTTAGAATACATTAATAGGCCCCTGCCTAACAACAGGTATGTGCTGCTAAACACAGTGCTGTGTCCAAATGTAAAACTAATTCATGACTAAGGAACATTGTAAAAATAACAGGCATGAAAAATAATGGGATTCTCTAATTTATTTAACAAGTGTAATAATCATACTATAAAAATGTGAGAGACTATTTTGTTAAAATGAAAACATTTTCTAGTGAGGCCATATTTGGATAAATACACTGCACAGATTAATGTTTCTGTTTCTCACTTTCTTCATTTGTCTTAATAAAGGATTTAAGAAAGAAGTTTTCAAAGGCAACTTCTTACTTAATATTTTATCAAGGATGGTATTTTTGCAAAAATAGGGTCACTCATATCTTTATTACACTGGAATAACAACACTGGTAGATAAACATAATATTAAATGGCCAATAAATTGTTTAAAACAGCATTTGCTATGCTGTGTCTTATAGGAGTTGTCTTTTCTAACTACCTTTGGCCCAGTTATTTTACGTTTTAGTTAGAAATAAATTTCTGATTTTATTTCTAAAAAATGTGCTTTCTACAGACATGAATCTACAAAAAACATGAAAAATATGATTTGTTAAAATAAATGTGACATTAAAATAAAAGTGTACGATTATATAACTTATAGCTATACATCGTATAATGTGTGGTTATCTCAGAAAAGTGAATACTTTGTTCTTTAGTTAATAAGAAAAAGAATTTAGCTGTTCTACCAGAAAGTTCCTACAACAGAAAAGATCTGTTTTGAATGTAATAAATGAGCCTGTAGCTAAGAAATGCATGTTGACTGAGCTTAGTGGATTCACACTGAGTCTAACAACGCCTTTTATTGATAATCTTCCACCATCTGCTCTGAAGATATATTCATACAAAGAAAAAAAAGCAGGTGAGAAGAAAGAATGCAAATAAGTGGCAATACTTAAAATTTGAATCATGCTGTGATTTTGCAAACTGGATTGATGCTACTGTTGCTTTTAAAAACATTACAATATTTGATGTAACAAAGTTGATGGTTAACTTCCACTTTCGGTCCATTTGCTTACATGAGCAGGAAAGTGCTCCCAGAAATGTCCGATTCATAAATTTAAATGATTGGTAGAAACAGTACTAATGTAATTTACATTTTGTATAGGGATAGCACTTTCATTCTGGCAAAAATAAAAGAATAATGTATATATTGATGGTCCTCTCAATAGAATTGAAAAGGCCTTTGACTAGGTATAAATAGAAAATATATATATATAAAAGCTTACAAAGTTAAAAAAAAAACACATAAAAAACTTCCACATTAATAGTCCCTTGAAAGGTAGGGAATCACTGAAAGGTAAAAATATGGTAGGTCAAAGTAATACTAAATCTGGGGATGTAAAAAGAAAGACTTTCCAGTGAAATCAAAGGAAAGACCACTTATGTGTAAGAAAATAGAGGAAAGGACGATTTGCTGTTTTCAGTTCCAATTTGAAAATTTCTTTCTCTTGTCGAATTGCTCTGGCTAGGACTTCCAGTACTATGCTGAATAAATGTGGTGAAAGTGGGCATCCTTGTCTTGTTCCAAATCTTAGAGGAAAGGGTCCAGTCCTTCCTTCCCACCTACTTTCCTGCTCACTTAATCCCCACTGAGTGTGTGTCTGGAGAGTCAAGCAAAACTCTTTTTAAATTTTATTTTTTTATTTTTTAAAGAGAGGACAGACATTTGAAACATTTTCTCCAAGTTTCCATAAAAAGCACTTTATGAAACAATCTAGGCTTACCAGCCTTGACATTCCCCAGCTCTCTGGACTTAATCACAAAGGGAGATGAGGCCAAGCCTTGGGAGGTAGAGTAGAAGAAAGTATAGGACTCCTTTGATGCCATCTACACACATTAAATGGACCAGCCACTTCTCTACATTGGGCCTTTATCTTTTAACTATTAAAGCATAAGGTTATTCATGTATAAGGCTGGCTGCAAAATCCTTCACAAATGAAAGTATACCCTGTAAGTGCACTTAATAGGCCCCCCTTTAATTTCTATTGTTCATAGTGGCATAAACAAGGGTTTTCACCATTCAATAAGAAGTTAACTGTGGGTTTGTCATATATGACCTGTATTGAGATATGTGCCTTATATACCCAGTTGGTTAAGACTTTTTTTATTATGAAGAGATGTTGAATGTTATTGAATGCCTTTGGGGCATCTGTGGAAATGATCATACGATTTTTATCCTTGATTCTGTTAATGTGATGTTTCACATTATCTCACAATGTATGTATGTAAAACCTATCTTGCATCCCTGGGATGAATCCCAGTTGGTCATGGTGAATGATCTTTTTAACATGTTGCTGAATTCACTTTTATAGTATTTTGTTGAGAATTTTTGCATCTATCTTCGTCAGGGATATTGGCCTGCAGTTTTCTTTTTTTGTTGTGCCTTTGTCTGGTTCTGGTAGCAGGGTACCTTGTAGAATGAGTTTGGAAGTATTCCTCTTCAATTGTATTGGAACAGTTTGAGTATACGTGGTATTAGTTCTACTTTAAATGTTTGGTAGAATTTAGCAATACAGCCACTGGGTCCTAGGCTTTTCTTTGATGGGAGAACTTTTATTACTACTTGTATCTCATTGTTCATTATAGTCTGTTCAAGTTTTCTATTTTGTCATGGT